>NC_000006.12:117798062-118101093 GCF_000001405.40 Homo sapiens | reverse complement strand
ACCTAAAAGATGTCATAAAATTCCTATCTGAACAGGCAACTCTGTTTCACTACCTTCCTGCTCTGTGCTTTAGCATAACAAAGAATTTAGTGGACGTTTGTCCCAAGTTCCTGGGAGGTAACCTTTAAACCCTTGGAATTTCCCAAGTGACTGGAGTGCCTTGTTATTCATGGTGGGGCCCTGGACCACAACTAATAATTTATGCTAATGAGGTGACTCAAGATGGGGGCAGGCCACAACAGAAAGACCAACCATGTGACTTGATGGTTGTAGCTTTGTACCACATGATATAGGCCCTGCCATCAGGGAATAGAGTGGGGCTGGAGAGTGAGTTCATTGCCAATGATTCAATCCAGCACGCCTACATTAAGCAACATTAATAAAAACTCTGGACACTGAGGCTCACGTGAGCTGCCCTGGTTGATGATACTCACAGAACACTGTCACACTTTGATACCAGGAGGGTAATGTACGAATGAGGATGACAGAAGCTTCACATTTGAAACCCCCCTAGACTTTGCCAATGTGCCACTTCCTTTGGCTGGTTCTAATGTTGATACTTTTGCTATAATAAAACTGTAATCAAGAATAGCACTTTCCTGAGTTCTGTGAGTGGTTCCAGTGAATTACTGAAGCTAAGGGAGTCCATAGAGCCCCTAAATTGGTAGCCAGCTGGTCTGAAGTTAGGGTAGCCTTGGAGACCTCTCAACTTGAGGCTGGTGTCTGAAGTGAGGACAGTCTTGGAGACTGGGCCTTTAACCTCAAGTTTGGCTAACTATGGGTAGTTTTCTCAGTGGTCTATTTGGTTCAAAACTCAGGGACCATTTTATTGAGGTGTATGAAGAATGCCTGATAAAGGGATAAAAACAAGGCAGTATGGCATGGTGGTTAAAAGCATGCCTAGGCTTTGGCACCAGACTGCCTTGGTCTAAATCCAGCTCCTGTCACTTATAGCTCATGTGACCTAGAGCAAGTTATTCAAACTCTCTATGCTTCAGTTTCTTCACTTATAAAGAGAGTATAATAATAATACCAACCTTATTGGGTTGCTGTGAGGATAAATGCATTATATATGCAAAATGCTCTCAAGGGTTCATAAATGTTATTTATTATACACAAACTAATGCGTTGCTTTTTTATTAAAAAATAACCAAGAAACCAGGAATACCAATGTATTTTATCTCTTCTTTAATATCAAATCACAGCTTTTTGATATTTACTCAAAGGTTGTTTCCACCACTGTTTTTAGAGTACAAGAGAAACAAGGGTGAACACCTATCCAATCTGCCCATGTGTTACAGCGAACCACAGCCACTCACAGAGCATTTTCTCCCAATGCAGGATGCACAAGGTGGAAATCTGTGGAGGCAGATGGCACTGACAGTCTCAATTCATGTCTTACCTGGAATATTCTCTTGGCCACCGGGCTATTTTTAACCTTGGGGTTACTCCCTTCAGCCCCCTTGTTGCTCTGACTCTATTTAGATGAGAGACTGCATGAATGAGCATTTCAGGCTCTGAGAGTCAGTGGTAACCACTGAGTATAGGAATTCTTGGGGGGAACAGGAGGGAGGAGAGAGGGAGGAGAAGGAAGAGAGAGGAGGAGGGGAGGAGGGGAGGAGGAGAAGGAGTGGGGAGAGAGAGAAAGAAAGAGAGAAAGAGAACTTAATGCAAACCATCTCCTGGTTATATACCTTCCATAGCTGACAGCTGTAGCAAGACCTTGCTTTGTAGTAGTTTTCAAAATAAGGTTTCCCAACTAGCAGCATCGACTTACTGGATCAGGAACTTTGGCAGTGGTGTCTAGCAATTTGTTTTCACAGGCCTTCCATATAGGTGATTCTGTTGCTTAAGTTTGAGAACCACTACTCTAGATGATTTTTCACAGCAAGTGAGGTTGCCCTCAAATCAGAAAATCTTGGCCTGACATCATGGCACTGCCACATTCACCACCTTCCTGCTCAAATGTCACAATTCTTTCCAGCCCCTAGGGAATGTGGATCTATCCCATGAGCAAGATCTCTTCTGAATTCCCCTTCATGTAAACACATTTCCTAATGCAACTTTCTCCCTTGGATCTACGGCCCATCCAACACTAACATTCATCATTATATATAAGGTACACCTAGAGGATGTACCTTATAAAATAGGCCAAACACAGTGGTGAGAAAATGAAGGGAACCAGGAAGAGACACCTGAATGGGGACAAGGAACTCCCCTCTGCTTCTCCTCTTCATGTGTGTTACTAATAAAATAAAATATATATAAAAATAAATACGTTAAAAGTCTTATCTTATTTCTTTCACATCAATAGTACCCTTTGTCCAAACATTATACATAAAGTCCACATCTAGTCATCTTACCCAAAGGCACATAATTAAATACATTAGCTTAGTTATCAAATAAGACATACATTGGAGAGAATACAGGCAACAGCAACTTCCCTGGAAAGCCATGCAAGGTGTAAGCTGCACACAAAGAGGGAATTATAAAAAAAGACATAAGACAGGAGCCAAGGAAGATGCAAAAAGTCTTCAGAGGTACAAAGAAAGGGAAACTGATTGAACAACAGTGGGTATCCTCATGGTGGGGTGTTTTTAACTATCTGCACTCCCAGTACACAATGCATGAGACTTAGAAACAGGCTTATTTCTAAGTACCACGTGTCTCAAAATAATTTCTGGCTCAAGGAATTATTGCCACTGGAAGAATGGGATAGTGAAGACAGCACTGGCACTAGCATCAGGAGACACTGATTCTGATGCTAGAGCTACCATTTATGGGTTACGTATTCTGATTTAAGTCTTCAGGACATTCTGTACCCAGGTTGTCTTAATTGTAGGAGGATGGTAATAATTCTTGCCCACTCTACCTCATGAGGTTATTGTGAAAATCAAAAGTAGGCATGTATACAAAAGTGTTTTGCAAACACCTATACAATTGTGAAGTAATGAAATAAGTTCTGTTAACTGATTTGTTCATTGTATCTTCACCTAGAACTGTGCTTGCAAGTAATAGATAATAAATATTTATTGAATGAATCAAAGTACTCTGCTGTTATTTAAGAGTAATAGTATTGTTGTGAATTTTCTATTCATGTTGCATCAGAGCTCAGAGCAGAGGAGATATACAGCCATCGACTTATTTTTAGAAAAAAGACATACTGCTTAAGAAATAAATCTATTTATAATTAGATGTGAGAAAACTAAGGAATACTAAACCACACCTACTCACTTAGTAAGAATGAAAAATTCACTCTAGAATAATTACTAGGCAGCTGGTAATTGTCTTGAATGGTTTTAAGCTCAGTGCTATTTTTAACGGACTAGGATAGTACTTTGTTTAACTGGGACAAAGAATGACCACTGTGGCATTATCAGCTGTTGCGGCTGGTGATGGCAGCAAAATAATTCTCTAAATGAGATTTGTGATTTGAATACAATTTCCTGCATAAAGCAATCTTCATAGAAAAATATCACTCCACCAGAGTCAGCTCTAGCTGTGCCCTCAGATTTCCCATTCATGACAGCTGACATTTAGACCAAAATGGTTTCCATCACCCTCTGGGTCCAACAGTAAACGAGACAGAGATAAATGCACACCCCCAAGTCACAACTGATTGGAAACTTCCTTCAAAATAAGGAGGAAAAAGGCCTTTAATGCTCTGGCTCAGGAAAACTGGAAATGGGGCTGAATTGTTTTAAAAGGAAGGGGCAAACTCTCCTGCCTGGAGCCCCCTTCTCCCTTTGGAAGCAGACATTCATTCATTCATTCATTCACTCAACATTTATTAAGCTATACTGAAGGGAGTATAATGTGGTCTGCATATAGCACAAAAGGAATGTAGAAAGGTATGCGGCCAGAAAGGCAGGTGGAAAGTGAGGTGGGAGTCCAATGAGGGGGAACTTTGTAGGTCGTTTTCAGAATGTGGCCTTATCCTGGGGCAACTGGAAGCAGTTGTGTGAATTCTGAAGAGGGGAATGATAGCTTTGAGTTTTAGAAAGATCACTTGAGCTGAAAAGGGAAAACAGCAAAGGAAAATAAAAGAGGAAGAAGAGAGGCCAGTTAAGAACCAAGAGTGAAAGACTTCTGAGATCCTGAATGGAGGTAAAGAAGATGAAGAAGAGGGAATAGATCCTGCAAATACTAAAGAGATGGAACTGATAGGATTCCATGATCAATTCTGTTTGGAATAAAAAGGAGAGTGAGTCTTTTGCTTGAGCTAAGGCAGGGAATAGGGGCATAGTGGAAAAAGAGCAGCTTTGGGGTAGGAGTGAAACCACAAATAGTAGAATATGTTTCCCATCATGATTCTGTGTTTTTCAGTAATATTGTCTCATGTTGACAGTTACACATTGAATGAATAAATGGTCCAAAAGGAAGGTGAGTGGTGTATCTCCCTTGGCTAACTGAAAGTTTCTCAACAGGAAAGCCCTAGCATGAAGAGAACAAGAGATGAAGTGTGATCTCTGGCAGTCAATCCTTGGGCTTTTGAAAAATAATGAAGGCCCATCTATTGTGCATTTGAAGGGGATTTTACAACAATGCTTGGATGACCAGGAACTGCTCAGTGTGTAGTCAGCCAAAACTGAATACCCAATCGCTAGAAACTCAGCCAAGAGAACTATGATTATTTATTCATCGCCTTTCTGTTCCCAACAAAGATTTGAGATGGCTAAAAGGGTCAGTATGTCTACGAAAATTTTTTTCACAAGTGGCTTTACTCTTTTTAACTCACATTCACTGGATTCTGCTATGCGTTAACTAAAGGAAATGGGAATTCAGCTATCAGGTAAAAATTTCACAGGCCAAGTTGTACCAAGGCTTACCTAAATATATCTGTGTCCATATTCCTCAAATGTATTAGTATTTCCTTATTTGTATTTATTTAATATTAGCTAACTGCAAATTCAGCCCTGAATTAGCAATTCTTTTGATTGAAGGAAAGGGTTGAGATTGGGATCCAAAAAGTTTGGAGAAACAAGGTTTAGCAGGAGTATTCCAATCTTTCATTGATTCAATTTTCTTTTCCCCATTTTGGAGAGAGTATAGAGTCACCATATTATGCCTCTCACATGGCTCACATTCTTAGCTTACTTCTGTCAAAGTAGACTTAGTAAATCAGAGATCCAAGTCTATGGCTTGGCACTCAGTTGGTAATAATGAAGACAAGTCAAAGAACCTTAAACAGAAACACTGAACTGTGTGTGTGACATTCATCCAGTCCACAACTACCTTCCACCACTCCTGGCCTTTCTTTTCTGCTTCCACATTCTCCTTTCTTCCCTAGTTGCTTCTTTCTGACTCCACTTCCATTTGCACACTATTTCAGCTCTCCATCACCAATAATTTCAGGCTCCACTTCTGTTTGAGCCCCTGAGTGCCCTATTGTGTATGTCTGATTTGGTCAAGGAACCTCCATGATGTTCCTTTCCTTTTGATACTGCAGATATCAAAATTTCAGTGCTCACTTTAGGCCACAAGGGCACATTAGGTAATGAGTACCTAATTTCTTCAGTACACGGGCCTATAGAAATTAACTGATTCCTACAGCTGTTTGTCTAATGACAGACTGAAAGAGGACTGAAGGCAAGTTTCTTAAAGAAAAAGGAAAAAAAAATCCTGTCAAGCATGTTGTCTAATTTGAGATGGACAATCACCTGCCTGGTAGGAAATATCATCTGGACTGTACAGATAAAGAACATGAGAATCTGAAAATGGAATGATGTGCCTGAGGTTACACGCCTCCTCCATGTCCTTGTTGGAGTGCCACGGTCTTTTTACTGAGATATTCAATGCTGGCACCTGTTTGGAACAAAGAGCACAAACTAAGACTAATGTTCTGCATCCACTTCAGAACTTCTGTCCCCACCTCTTAACAGAAAGTGATATTGTTAAGTGTAGCCATGACCTTTGTCTTGTCAAATACAATGGCCAATTATCCGCCTTCTCTTTTCTTTTTGAGACAGAGTCCTACTCCATTGCCCAGGCTAGAGTGCAGTGGCACAATCTTGGCTCACTGCAGCCTCCGCCTCCTGGGTTCAAGTGATTCTCCTGCCTCAGCCTCTCGAGTAGCTCGAATCATATGCACACACCATCATGCCTGGCTACTTTTTTTTTTTTTTTTAGACGGAGTCTCGCTCTGTCACCCAGGCTGGACTGCAGTGGCACGATCTCGGCTGACTGCAACCTCCACCTCCTGGGTTCAAGTGACTCTCCTACCTCAGCCTCCCAAGTAGCTGGGATTACAGGAGTGCCTCACCATGCCCAGCTAAATTTTGTATTTTTAGTAGAGACAGGGTTTCACCATGTTGGCCAGGCTGGTCTCGAACTCCTGATCTCAAGTGATCTGCTCACCTCGCCCTCCCAAAGTGCTGGGATTACAGACATGAGCCACCACATGGGGCCTCAGTCCTCCCTCTTCTTACTCATCATCTGGACACCCCTTTCCCCTGGCTTTCAGGACAACACACTCTCCTGGTTTTCTCTGACCTTACTGGATACTCTTCTTCTGCATTCTCTGTAAGTGGAAGAGTCTTAGAATTTGGTCTTTTGACTTCTCTTCTGTCTATTTTATTCTCTTGATGACCTCTTGAGTACTGCCCCATAATCCCACACCATCTTCCTGGAAAACTTACCATCTCTTTCTCTCCTTAAACTTTCAATACTACTTTCTCTGCCTTCCTTATTTGCAGCTGATGACCTTTGCTTCATATTTTCCTGAAAATGGAAGCAATTTTGTGGGCTCTACATCATTTACTTATCACATACTTTACAAACCCACTTCATCTGGTCCCATTATATTCTGTTTTCTCTAATGTTTCAATGGAAGAACATTCTCTCCTATGATCAGTGCCAGCCCTCTATTTGTGCCCTGAGTTCCATCTTCTCTCATTTACTCAAGGACTTTGCTCTTGAAAGTATCCCTGCTCTCTTTCTTTGCATCTCGATTTTCCCCCATATCATTCTCAACAGCATAGAATTATGCTGTAACTGCCACCTTAAAAGCAAAACTGGGATAAAAACCCACCCTGCAAATTATCTCTGATTAACCTCCAGTCCTCTACAGGAACACTTCAAAGATCGGTTTACATGCATCGCTTCAGAACTTTTATTAACCTCTTAACAGGAAGTGCTATTGTCAAACATAGTCATGACCTTTGTCTTGTCAAATATAATGGCCAATTATCAGTCCTCTTCTTACTCATCATCTCAACACTCCCTTCCTCTGGCTTTCAGGACACCACACTGTCTTGGTTTTCTCCGACCTTACTGGATACTCTTCTTCTGCACTCTCTGAAAATGGAGGAGTCTTAGGATTTGGTCCTTTGACTTCTCTTATGTCTATTTCATTCTCTTGGTGTATTTTAGTCCATTCTTATGCTGCTAATAAAGACATACCTGAGACTGGGTAATTTATAAAGAAAAAGGGCTTTAATGGACTCACAGTTCCACATGGCTGGGAAGGCCTCACAATCACAGCAGAAGGCAAAGGAGGAGCCAAGGTATGCCTTACATGGCGGAGGCAAGAGAGCTTGTGTAGCGGAAGTTCCCTTTATAAAACCAATGATCTCATTGAACTTATTCACTATCATGAGAAAAGCATGGGAATAACCTGCCCCCATGATTCAATTATCTCCCATAGGTCCCTCCCAAGATACATGGGAATTATGGGAACTACAATTCAAGGTGAGATTTGGATGGGGACACAGCCAAACCATATTCTACTTCTGACCCATCTCAAATCTCATGTCCTCACATTTATAATTTTTTTTTTTGAGATGGAGTCTCGCTCTGTCACCCAGGCTGGAGTGCAGTGGCGCAATCTCCACTCACTGCAAGCACCGCCTGCTGGGTTCATGCCATTCTACTACCTCAGCTTCCCGAGTAGCTGGGACTACAGGTGCATGTCACCACACCCTGCTAATTTTTGTATTTTTAGTAGAGATGGGGTTTCACCACATTGGCCAGGCTGGTTTCGAACCACTGACCTCATGATCCACCCGCCTCTGCCTCCCAAAGTGCTGGGATTACAGGCATGAGCCACCGTGCCTGGCCATCCTCACATTTCAAAACACAATCATGCCTTTCCAACAGTCTCCCAAAGTCTTAGCACATTCAGGCATTAACCCAAAAGTCCAAGTCTGAAGTCTTATCTGAGACAAGGCAAGTCCTTTCCACCTATGAGCCCGTCAAATCAAAAGCAAGTTAGTTACTTCCTAGATACAATGGGGGCACAGGGATTGCGTAAATACACCTGTTCCAAATGGGAGACATTGGCCAAAACAAAGGGGCTACAGGCCCTATGCAAGTCTGAAATCCAGTAGGGCAGTCATTAATCCTTAAAGTTCCAAAATGACCTCATTTGACTCCATGTCTCACACCCAGGGCACACTGATGCAAGAGGTGGGCTCTCATGGCCTCGGGAAGCTCCACCTCTGTGGCTTTGTAGGGTACAGCCCATGAAATGCTACTTTCATGGGCTGGCATTGAGTGTCTGCAGCTTTTCCAGGTGCATGGTGCAAGCTGTCAGTGGAGGTCTGGAGGATGGCGGCCCTCTTCTCACAGCTCTACTATGCAGTGCCCCAGTGGGGACTCTGTGTGGGGGCTCACACACCACATTTCCCTTTCACATAGCCCTAGCAGAGGTTCTCCATGAGGGCCTTGCCCATGCACCAAACTTCTGTCTGGACATCCAGACATTTCCATACATCCTCTGAAATCTAGGT
Organism: Homo sapiens; assembly: GCF_000001405.40. Classification (NCBI taxonomy): domain Eukaryota; kingdom Metazoa; phylum Chordata; class Mammalia; order Primates; family Hominidae; genus Homo; species Homo sapiens. The sequence continues at coordinate 118,092,364 of NC_000006.12, read as the reverse complement.
GGAGGTTGCCAAACCTAAGTTCTTGACTTCTTTATTCCTACAGGCTCAACACCACATGGCCTGGCCCATGAAACCATTTTTCCCTCCTAGGCCTCCAGGCCTGTGATGAGAGGGGCTGGAGGAAACCATTTTTCCTTCCCAGGCTTTCAGACCTGTGATGGGAGGGGCTGCTGCAAAGGTCTCTGACATGCCCTGGAGACATATTTCACACTGTCTTGGTGATTAACATTTGGCTCTTCATTACTTTGGCAAATTTCTGCAGCCAGCTTGAATTTCTCCTCAGAAAACGGTTTTTTCTTTTCTACTGCATCGTCAGGCTGCAAATTTCCAAACTTTTATGCTCTGCTTTCTCTTGAATGCTTCGCCACTTAGAAATTTCTTCTGCCAGATACCCTAAATCATCTCTCTCAAGTTCAAAGTTCCACAGATCTCTAGGGCAGGGTCAAAATGCTGCCAGTCTCTTCGCATAGCAAGAGTGACCTTTACTCCAGTTCCCAACAAGTTCCTCATCTCCATCTGAGACCACCTTAGCCTAGACTTTATTGTCCACAATATTATCAGCATTTTGGTCAAAGGTTTTCAACAAGTCTCTAGGAAGTTCCAAACTTTCCCACATCTTCTTATCTTCTTCTGAGGCCTCCAAACTGTTCCAACCTTTGCCTGTTACAAAGTTCCAAAGTTTCTTCCACATTTTCAGGTATCTTTACAGCAGTGACCCACTACCTGGTACCAACTTACTGTAATAGCTCATTCTTACACTGCTAATAAAGACATACCCAAGACTGGGTAATTTATCAGGAAAAAGATGTTTAATGGACTCACACTTCCACATAACTGAGGAGGCCTCAAAATCATGGTGGAAGGTGAAGGAGGAGCAAAGGCAAGTCTTACATGGCAGCAGGCAAGAAAGTGTGTGCAGGGGAACTGCCCTTCATAAAACCATCAGATCCCATGAGACTTGTTCATTATCACAAGAACAGCATGGGAAAAACCTGTCCCCATGATTCATGATTCAGTTACCTCCAACTGGGTCCCTCCCACAACACACAGGGACTATAAGAACTACAATTTAAGATGTGATTTGGGTGGGGACACAGCCAAATCATATCATTTGGTAACTCATCCAGTAAGCTCTGACAACCCATTAGGCATTGCCACTGAGATATCTAACAGGAATCTCATATTACTAAGTCCAAATATAAGTTTGGAATGCCTGTTTCAACACATCCAAACATGTTCTTCATCTAAGACCCATTTCATTCATTCAGTTAAGATCAATTCACCCAACTGCTTAAAAAGCAAGAACTTATGTGTCATCCGGACATCTTTTATTTCTCTCTCTTTTTCTCATGCCCAAAATCCAATCTACTGACAAGTCCCATCAGCTCCTCCTTCAAACTCTATTCCACTTCTAGCCACATCTGACCAGCACTCCCATTCCCTCTCTGGTCCAAGCCCACCATCTTCTTGTGTCTGGAGAACTTCAATAACATCGTGGTGAGTCTTCCTCCTTCCACTTATGCCCCCCCATTGTCCATTCTCCACATAGCAGTTAGAGTATTTCTTAAAGTATTAATTTGATAGATCTTATTTTTATGTAAAACTTGGTTTGAAACCTCCACTGATTTCTCACAGAGTTAAACTCAATCCTTATGCTCTAGAAAGCAACACTTAGTCTGGATTCTGCCAACCCTTCTCATCATATTTCCTGCCACTCCTCTCCTCCCTCACCAGGCTTCAGCCTCATCTCCTTCTCACTGTTCTTCAACTATGGCAAGCCCATGCTCCCCTCAGAGCCTTTACATAGACAGAATTTTCACTCAAGTATTTATATTGTTGGTTCCATCCTTCTCATCATTGAAGTTGAGGCTTAAATGTCACCTATTTGGAGAGGCCTTTCTTAATATTTCAATTTAAAGTAGTATCTCACCATTTCAGCTTTATTGCTTTGAGAATTTCTATATGTTCTTTATTTATTAGGCTATTGTCTGTTTCCTCCCACCACGACATATGCTCAGTGAGGGTGGGAACTCTGTCTTATTCACCACTACATCCTCATGACAGTTACATGGTAGGCATTCAAAACCCATTTCTAGGACTAAATGACAATACTAGGAAATTTGACTTAGAGCATCCTGGCCAGTTAAACAAGAGTCATCCATGAGCTTCCATATGCCAAAGCTCTTCCAAAATTTATAACCCACCTTGAGGTGTTAAAATATGCTAGCAGTTGCCCTAGAGAGATTCTTCAGTCCCTGCCAGAATTTTTATAATTATCTTGACATCTTTGAGTTCTAAACACCCATTCTTACTCAGTCTCAGAATTAGTTTATATTGCTCAAAGGCATGCAGAATCTAGACAGATTTTAAGGCATTCCAACTGATCAATCTGTTTCCAAGACATTACCAGCTGCTGTTTTAATCATTTATGGGACCATTATAGCTTTTCGGCTTTGAGTCAAGAATTAAGGCATTGTGTTTTGTTTCATGAAATTGGCTTATGGAAGAAAGACTTTCATTCCAGTTTTGCAAAGTCAAATTGGAGGCTGATGATTATCTGGGGACTGCTATTAACATGAAGCCCTGTCATCCACAAATGTCCCCAAGATCCAAAGTCATGGTGAAAGAGATGACATTTGCTGACAATAAAGGCATGAAAATAGATCCACAACTCTTCCAAGGGTCTGTCTTTGAGCCAGTACTATTGCAAAAAATAGGTTAGGTAGCAGTTTGAGGCCTCTTTGTGTGTGTTGTTGATTTTGTTTTTTAGCTTGGAGAATCTGCATTCATTAGTTTACCATTAGTTGTTAATGCCACCCTCTCCTCCTGAGAGTGTATCATAAAAAATGAGCAAAAGGAAATAGAAATTAATAGTATTATGTTATGGTAGGAAAAGACTTTGGAAGTAATGAGTATCTAATTCCTTTAGCAAAAGGCTCATAGATGCTGAATGACTTGTTGGAACTCCCAGCCCCAGTTCTTTTGTTTCTTTTAGGTTTTGGGCATACGTAAGGATGAACCTTCTCATGGCTGCTCTATGGGGCTCCAAGTATGTATAAAATATAAAATCCCCAGTTAGTATCTATAGTGAGACTCCTCAAAACAAAACTCTTCAAGTTCTCCCTCACCATTCTGGCCCTCATCCTGAGTCTTCCGCATATTAGTAAATTATAAAAATGGTTATCAAACGCTCATGCCAGAGTTCTAGGGTCCTCTCTCTTTCCCACACCTCTTGTATCCAACCCATCAGCAGATCCATCAATTCTATCTCCACGGCCATTACCTTGTTCTAGGCACCATGATTTCTTTCTGGGTTTCTGCAACAGCTTCTTAAATGTGGTTTAAGATTTAAAACACATTTGGACCCCCAACTGTGCAATGTGTAGTAGATCTATCTCTCCTTAATTCCCACAGCTGCTGCTAGTCCACAGGGTGTCCTTACTTAAGTTACCAAAAAAAGTGCCTTCTGTGGGTGAATCCAGTCCTTCAATGCAGAGCTTGATGAATGTAGAAGTGTCTTTATGCTAATTAGGAAAAACCCTCCTTTTCTCCGCTTCCTCTGGGCTAACACATCTTTATGCAATGATGCATGGCATGATAAGACTTGATCAGTCTGGTGTCAGTTCCATCACCCCTATGGCTGAATGCCCTTGTTTAATGTAAACTTGCACAACCAAACACAGTAGCCTTGCTTTCTCACCCCTCACACCTTCTACTGCCACCTTACTCTGTTTTAAGACGTCCTATTTATTTTGAATATAAGATTCATTACAAGTGGTGCTTATTAAATATTTTTATATGAAAGAAGAGTGAATGAATGTTCAACATCCACTCTGTGGATGAGGTAAAAGGAGGAAAAAGGCTGAGAGATACCCTAAAAGGAAAGCTGCCTATTTACTAGACTCAATAATTCTTTCAAATGGGCTATTTCCCAAGAAACTACTTTTGTGGCCATGGTCAGATGGCAACCCTGCATACCTGATGTGAGAGCAACCCTGTGACCCACATTGAATTACCTCTGTTTACTACACAGTGCCAGGGATGGAAATACTTACAAATTGTAGCCTCTCTTCACCAAGGAACTACATTTTAAAATAAGGATCTAGAATCATGTATAAAAGGATACTTCACCATAAATAAATGTGAAATTAGTGCTAGGAATAAATAGTTCTTTGTGTGAGATCACCACGAAAAATATATAAAAAGATACGCAGTTTAATTATGGTAAATACTTTAAGTAACTATTAAAGTAACCATTAAAAGTAACTATTAAAGTAACTCAGTGATTATATTAACCATATCAATGATTTGTCATGGAGTACTTCTAAGAATATGTGTAACTATAAAATGCAATTTAAGTGTTTATTGCTTTGATTGCTATTCTAAATCTATAAGAAGATTCAAACCAATTCAGTATTTCTTGAGCAGTTTCTGGGTCCAAACCAAGTATTTAGTGCTTTAGGGCAATTAAAGATAAACATGATAACAAAATGTTTCTAAAGGTGCTCACTATCTTACATGAGCAAGAAGGTCTAGCTAAATAACATTAGCATAATAGAAACATTAAATAAACGTAAATGTTCTTATATAGACAGAGTACTATGGCAGCACAGACCAGGAAAACAGTAGGTGGTATCTGAGTTGAGCTTTTTGGATGAGTAGGATTTTGATAGAAGTTGTTGGGCAAAGACATGGAAGGCATGCACTCAGGCTGCTTTTTGGAGAGGTAGGCAGAGGAGGGTCCAGTGAATTCTGTCTTGGAACATTGGGCTGAGCCTAGCAAGAGCACATCAGCAGAGACAATCATAATGACTTGCTGATAATTCTTCTCTAAAAGGTAAAGAGGCTAAACAAACAACAAAAACCACTCCACAAATGTGACTGTGACTCTAATTCTGACTTTTGCTACCAGCTGCTAAAGAGGTAAGGGGCCTGTTATGGGCTAAATTGTGATCTCCTCAAAACGAATATGTTGAAGTCCTAGCCCCCCAGTACCTCAGAATGTGACTATACTTGGAGCTAGCATCTTTAAGGAGGTAATTTAGTTAAAATGAGTTCTTTAGTCTAGGCTCTAATCCAATATGACGGGTGTCCTCATAAGAGGAAATCAACACAATCAGTGACAGAGAGGGATGATGTGAAGACACAAGGAGAAGATGGTCATCTACTAGCCAAGGAGAGGCCTCTAAAGAAACCAATCCTGCTGACACCTGGATCTAGAACTTCTACCCTCCAGAACTGTGAGAAAATAAATTTCTGTTGGTTAAGCCACCTAGTCTGTGGCATGCTGTTAGGGCAGCATAACAAGGCAATACAGGGCCCCAGCACCTTAGGGTCCCGGGGGACTGGGGAACAAAGAACACAGTCAGACATGTAGACCAAACATGTAGATCAGGCTTTACAGATATGCTTTTAAAGATAGCAGAGATGTCAGAATAAAGGCAGGCATGATACACTTTCTAAGACTAAATGATTCCAGTGAACCTGACAAGGAAGAAAGGAAGGAGGTTCCAAAGGAGCTGCATGGGCAAGCCTCCCAGTGAGCCTGTATTTTAAAGGACAAGTACAAAATGAGGAGAGAAGGACAGACAATGAAGGAAAAGCATCTGACAGAAATTAACGAGTCAGAAACCTCAGTAAGAGGAAAGACCACGGTGAACCAAGGCTTCTAAAAATTATGGGGGTCAACAATAAGAGCATCCTAAATTAGAGCTGGTAGCCAAAGAACAAAGGAGGCTGGAGGTGGGGCTGCAAAGACATTCTAATGTTCCCAAACAGTAGCTGCAAGTAAAACCTTTCATTCCTCTTCTGCCTCAGTTTTTTGTTGTGAGAAAGAGATATGGATTGAAGAACCAGGAATGAGTCTTGCTAAGAGGGAATTGACATTTGAGGGAGGTGAAGGATAACAAAAGAGAGCACATGGCTGCTCTGAGTGAGTTCAAGTATCCTAACCTCGATAAATCACATCTTGAGGTAACTGCAGAACTTGCAAATGAGCAGCAGAACTGCTGACACTGACCTTTGAGAAAGCACAGAAAGTGGAAGAGGTAGACAATACAGAAGACAGGCACAGCCTGGCCTAATTTTCACCAAAAGGAAGAAAGAAAAGCCTACAAACTATAAAATGGACAGTTCGACAGCAATTGCAGGGACTAGTCTCCAATGGGTGAATTGTGAGAATTTAAGAAAGGGAAATTTATTTTTTTTACATTGGAGAAAACTTTAATCATAATAAAAAGGAAAATATTTGTCATTTGTGCCTGAAAAAAAATAAATACACCAAGTAGCATTTTCTTGCATGTCTGAACATTCTTTTTCCTACCTGTAGGAAGTGTTGGAGAATTTTTAAACCTTTCTTCTCTGGCTTTATTTGGAGTTTCATCAGTGACTCCTTGAACTTTCATATTTTTCATGAACTCAAGAAGGGGGAAATTTGATCATCAGAAGTCAGCATAGAACCACTATGAAAAAATACATAGAACTGTAAAATTTCAGGACTGGACAGGTCCTTCAGGATAATTTAGGCCCCAAATCCATCCATCAAATGCTTAAATTTCCACAAGTTTGTAACTCAACTTATGTTTGAACTCCTCCACGGTGAGAAACTTCCTACTTTTCAAGGCAGGTCATTCACATAATCATAATTAATTTATCTAGGGCAAGCTGTAAAATCCGTGATTAATATTTGGCATGACATATCTTAAAGACAAGATAGAAAACTGTAGTCTGGTGGTGGTACATGTCTATAACCCCAGCTATTCAGGAGGCTGAGGCTAGAGGTGAAGGTTGCAGTGAGCCAAGATCACACCACTGAACTCCAGCCTGGGAGACAGAGTGAGGCTCTACCTCAAAAAAAAAAAAAAAAAAAAAAAAAAAAGGAAAGAAAGAAAAAAAAAGAGAAAACTATAGGCTGGATGATTACACAATTAGCAAAATCTGTAACTAGTTGACATAGGCTTTGCGCAAAGGACATTACTAATGAATTTGTGAGAAGGATGTTATTTTAGTTTGCACCAGGAAAATCCAAGGGGATTTGGTCCAAGCTAGAGCTGACAGGCCCTAACTATATCAGAACCAGCTGTTAGCCCTGAAAGTGGACCACACTAGCAACAGCCTTGTTGAGGAGACTCCTAGACAAGAGGAAGCCTCCTCCAAGGGGGAACCAATTCCTTAGGACCCTTTTGACGTGGACCCAAATTCTAGGAGAGTCTTGGCAGCTCCTGCATAGAAGAGAGTTGGTGGGGTGACACAATGTGATGGCAGTAAGGAACATACTATCCCGTTCTAACTGCTTGGCCCAGTCTCTGCTCCAGACACAGACCCCCACCACCCAGGCTACCTACAACCGGAAGAGGGGATGGTTAAACAAATCAAAGAATAAGGATAATTAATCAGTGCCTTTCAGTTAATGTGATATTGGCTGAGGGCAGGGAAAGGCATAAGTCTGTCAAGGCTACCCACAGAACCAGGGACAGAAGTGATAAGACCTTGAAAGCCCCCACCAGACAGGTTGCTGAGTTTCCTGGTCCCAGGGAATCATCTCAGAGCAAGTACTGACAGCTGGGGAAAGGAGCAAGGGTCCCCATTTCCCCAGCACCCTGTCCACCTCCGACCCCTGCCCTAAATCTCTCCTGATAACCTGCCAGTCCTTTCAATGACTTCTACATTCAGCATACCCTCATTGCTTGAGCCAGAATTAGGATCACCTACCTTTGAAACCCCCTAGTTTGGATGAATATTAGTACTTTAGTATTGCTTTGAAGCACACCACATACTGTACCTTCTAGTAGGTATTTTTGTTCCTGCCTCATCTCCCCCACTAGAAGGTAAAGCATTTGTAGGCAAATAATGTGTTGAAATTATTCTGTATCTCTTTGAACACATTAGCATATAAGTGGAGATGAGAAAAGTTCAGAGAACAGCCTTGTATCGTTTAGAAACATCTAGAAATGTCTGAGTGTGCATGTGGAAAATTACAGGCAAAATAAGAATCAACATCTATTCTTTTAAAATATCCATTCCAATTTGATATGAAAGACAATCGGATTGGGCAATACACATAATTATAATTTGTATCGTTTTATCTCCTTCACTTAAATTTAACAAGTTTAAACTTAAAAAAAACTTAATAAAGTCATGGGACTTTATAAAGTTAGGAAGAGAAGAAGAAAGGAAAGTACCTAAGGATCAAGGATCTGGGCTTTGGAGCCAGACTGGGCTAAAATCCCAGAGCAAGGACTTATTAGCCATGTGACCCTGGGCAAGTCACTTAAACTAAAACTCAGCTTCTTCTTATGCAAAATCGGGAAATTAAAACTTCTATCTCATCTGGCTGTTATGAGAATTAAACAAAATACACATGTAAAGGGCTTACAATCTGTCACACAACTAATTCTAAAGTGTTACTGCTAAGTGTCCGTGTATAAAGAGACAGCAGAGTGGCCAAGGCTTAGAATGTCATTCAATAACCTCAGAATAAATGGTGAAATCATGACAATAGCACAGACAGTTTGCATTTGTGAAGCTGAGAAAAGTCTTTCATAATTTGAAGTGGCAACAATGAACTCCTTTAAATGATACTAATTACTGATAGCTAAAGGGCAAATTATTGTTCATCTGTATCTGGAAGCCAAACTTTAGTTATAACATGTATTGCCAAATACCAATCACGATCCACCACAAAACATTCTTGAAGGGCACCTCATCCAACAGAGAACAAAGTACTAAATTATTTTTTGACCTTGACTTCATAATAGTGACATGAGAGCATCACTGGATTTAGTAAAAAAGGATTCCTTTAATTATTTGCTTTTAATATCTGTGAGGGAAGTACTTTAGAGATGATTTTAATGAATTTTGAATGACAAATTTTGTACCTTAACATTTCCTCATTTCTTTTCTTATAAGCACCACTAAACAGGTTTTGGGAAGCTGTGGGTGGCTTGAATTCAAGGACGTATTCTCAGTACAGGAACATATTTGCATACAAATATATTGGGATAGCATAATCCTTATTACTTTACCACTTAGGTCAGCCCACTTATCTTGGAAAAGTTTATAAAATGCCTTTTTTAGTATCTGTCCAAACATTTGTTTACTTCATCAATTCAGTTTGGTAATATTAAATGAAGTAAAATTTAGTTTCCATTTCAGTCACATATCCTTCCCAATGGGCCATTAGAAACACACAGCCAGATAAGAAACTTATTCTCCTTGATCCAGAAGTGCCTAGTGTGTGACTCCCCACAGATTACAAAGTTTAATCAACACTAGAATTTTGGGCAGACAAAGCAAAATCATTCAATTTGTTTTTTAGATAACAGCTGTTGTTTTTCTCTGCCTAGCAGTTTTTTCCCCATTCCCCCTTTGAGGAGCCACTCTTCTCTCCCCTCAGTGGTCCTGGTGGGTATGCTGGGGGCGGGGGTGAGTGTCATCCAGGCTGACTATTCAGAGTCTTCCTTCTCCAGGCCATTGTGACAACTTCAGGGATGAGCAGGTGATTCAGGCAAGGCCAATCAAAGCTTTCCCTGAGATTTGGACTATGCAAAAGATAGGGACCCATTTCTTTGGATTTGCTTAAGGGAATAGGCTTGGGACTGTCAGTAGCCATCTTTTTTTCTTGCCATTTGGAGAAAACTTGCTTGAGAATAAAGCCAACACAAAGAGAAAAACAGCTGAAAGACAAGGAGAGAAAGCTCTGCCATTTTTCTTGGGTTTCTGGATCCAGCTATCCCAGAAGGCTCAACTTTTGGTGGTCTTCTCCTTTATGAAAAAAAAAAAAATCCCTTCTTTGTTTGTTAGAGTTGAGTTTATGTTACTTGTAACTAAAAGAAGCCTGATCACAAAGCTTTAAGGAAAAGACAGACATTACTGTTCATTCAATATTCAATGTTTCTTTCATTTCGTAAGTTCTCCTCTCCTATCAGTGATAAACTCCAGGCCTGTTTGTTCCATAACTTTCTAAAATTATTCTCTGAGCTCTTCAAATTCCAGTCATTCTGTCACTAGTTATCAGTATCTTATAATAAGTATATACACATATTTTAAGTCAAGACATCTTTTTGGGGCATCTTTAAAACTAAACTTTGTTCTTATCTGTAAACAATCATTTAGATCAGTGTTTCACCTGGGACTGAGTTATAAACTAGAATCACCTACTTGGTTTTTTAAAGAATCGTAATTGCCTAGACCCTAATCTCAATGAGCCATCTGTAATGTTCAAAGGTTGAGGCTCCAATCTGTATTTTTAAAAGCTATGTAAGCATTTCATATGCAGTCTTGTGGTTTAGAAATTATCTGTTTTAGACAAATATCTTCTTTAAAGAAAGAAAATGGATTAAGCTGATCATCAGAATCTTTAAAAACATAGGTTATTGATACAGATTAACGGAAATTTTCATTCCTTGGGTCTTTAAAAGTTTTTATGGCTCCCCAGGTGATTCTGATGACCATTCAGGTGTGAGAACTACTGGAGTAAATCATGGGCCAAGTCACCCTCAGTGAATCTATGTTCACAGCCATTCTGCAGACTCACAGCAAAGAACCTTTAAAAATGTAAACTTGGGCTGGGAATTCATGAAATTTAGAAGGCTTGGTACTGATCAGCATTTTTACTTGCACAGTGACATGTACTGAGCACATCACTCTGAAAGAATGGGCCAGATTATACCATTTGCAGAAAAAGAACAGATGAGGTTGTATCTGGTGGTTTTTGTTTGTTTGTTTGTTTGAAAACAGGGTCTTGCTCTGTCACCCAGGCTGGAGTACAGTGGCACAATCACAGCTTACTGCAGCCTCAAACTGCTGGGCTCAAGGGACCCTCTTGCCTCAGCCTCTTGAGTAGCTGGGACTACAGGTGCATGCCACCATGCCTAGCTATTTTTTTTTAAAATTTTTTGTAGCAATGGAGTCTCACCATGTTGCCCAGGCTGGTCCCAAACTTCTGGTCTCAAGCAATCCTCCCATCTCAGCCTCCCACAGTGTTAGGATTACAGGTGTGAGACATCATGCCTGGCATGATCAGGTTGTTTTAAAGGAAACAGAGTGAAAAGGTGTAAGGATTCACAGCTATTTAATTTCATCATTCTGGTCTTTTTTCTGTGAGCATTTTTGTATGTGTGAAACTGTCATTTAACATCTCTATAAGGTTTGTCCCAAATATAAAATACTATTTGCATGAGGAATTGTTCTATCATTGAAAACCTCAATGAACAACCCTGGATCAAACAGGGGTAAAAGAGAAAAAGAGAAGAGAGGATTAAAGGGAAGATTTAATGTGACGCTCTGAGCTTCTGAAATTAGCCATAATGAAGAGATGGAGCAGAGGACCCTGGCTAACCCACTTCTGAGGTTTAGACAAGGGTTCTCCCTTGAAAGTAAAGGGACCAATATACACAATATATTACACAATAAAGGGGTGAGAGGGGCTGGCAGTTAGTATTTTCAGGTCAACACCAGTGGAAAAAAGTAGGCTGCTGATTTCTTCATTAGCTTTTTCTCTTTACACCGACTGTTAACAGCTTTTTCTGCCTTACTCTCTGAGCTGAAGACATTGGAAATGCTGCACAGGATAACTCCTTGTTTCCCTGCAAGGAGATGATGCATTTTAGCTCTGTAGCCACTAGGAGTCCAAGCACAGTAAGGACTCCCACTATCTTCCCAATCACTATTTCAATCAAACGAGAAGAGCCCCTGCATAAGCTACAAGCACTTTCATTTTATTCCAAACCTGGCTTAGCCTCTAATAGCTCAATTAAGGTCACAGCAAAGCCATCAGAAATCAATAATCACACAGAATAGTAGTCTGAACTTTTGCAGTTCTTTTTTACTATGCAGCCAATTTATCATTCTTTACCTTTATCGTACTATTTTAAGACAGGGATCAAAGCTTTAGCCATGATGTGTTCTGACATGACAATACTCATCATATCTGAAAAGAGACCCTACATATGCATATACTAATAGAAGGACACTGAAAATCTCTCTCCAGAACCCATCAAGCCAAATGTGATCCCACTAATCCTCCACAGCAGTGTGGTTTTACCAAAATCAGAGCTGCAGTAGTGGGATATGGGATGAAAGCAAAAAAAGAGAAGCTGACCAGAAATTGGCCAAATAAGTGATATTGCTAATGCAATGGGGATAGTAGTTTTGACATATTACTTTGATATATTTTTTCTTCCCTGCAGTTCCCCACTTACTGAATTGATGAAACTATTACTTCAGGAGCTGGTAGGTACCATTCAGAAAGAAAGAAGTTGGAGCTCAGCTTTGAGGCTCAAGCTAAATTTTTTTAATGTTCAGTGAGGTAACAGTTTTGAAAGCCTGACTTTGTTGAAAATAAGAGGCTTTCTAAATTCCTAGTCCCCTTGAACAGTAAAAGCAAAGTTTGGAGATATGGACATGCTTTTCTACATGCCTTAACATAGAAAGTAAGAGAATATGATGCAGGAAAAATTTTTGACAAGAAGGAGACATAGAAAGTCCTGTGTACTAGACAAAGGAGAGAGGATGTGAGGGTCAAGCGGTCAGAGGTGTCTCAGCTCATCCCTCTCAGGACAGAAACCTCAAACCAGAGAGGTTAGGGGGAATAACAGAACAGGGGAAGTTTTTCATTTGTCCACAGAACAGCTTGGCAATATTTAAGTACCCATATTCAACCAGCACCAGGACACATGAGAGAAGACTGAGGAAAATGTCCGTACCAGCATATTTGAGGGCAGCCTCAAAGCATCCTGCCCACTTCAGTCACGTATGGAGTAAGCAGTCACAAGTTCTTAGGTCTCTAAAGGGTGTAAAAAGTTGATAGATATAAAGTGAGCCCCTATCCAGCAATTCCAGTTCTATGTATATGCCCAAAAGAATTGAAAGCAGGGACTCAAGCAGATAATTGTGCACCTATATTCACAGCAGCAATATTCACAAGAGCCAAAAATATGAAAGTAACCTGGCTCCACTGGCAGATGAACAAATAAAATACATACAATATAATAATATTCCATAATAAAAAGGAATGAAATTGATACATGCTATACAGATGAGTTTTGAAGACATTATGCTAAGTAAAATGAACAGACACAAAAGGAAAGATTTGATATGATTCCATTTATAGAAGGTATCTGGAGAAGTAGAGTAGAGACTACCAAGAGCTGAGAGGAAGGGAAAATGAAGAGTTATTGCTTAATATTTACAGAGTTTCTGTTTAGGATGGTGATAAAATTCTGGAAATGAACAGTGGTGATAGTTACATAACATTTGACTGTATTTAATGACATTGAATTGTACACACACAAAAAAATTGTATACAAAAAATCTTAAATTTTATGTTACATATATTTACCACAATACATTTTTTTAAGTGGACCCCTAGTGGCCTGACAAAAGGACCAGCAGGCTACACGGTATCTAAAGATGGGCTTCAGCAGTCAGGCGTCTCACAAGGCATTCCAAAAAGCCAGTCTTAAACAGCCATGACTCAGGATGCCCTGTGTTCAGGCAGGCTGAGTGACATTTCCATAGAGGCCAGCAGGGACTCAAATGCCAGCACCAGGAACAGAGGAACATCAGATGTCTCCCCACCAAGCTGCACCAATGCTGAAAGGGTACCCAAGCTTCTTTCTGCACCTTGACACCATCTTGGTGTGGAGGAGTAGTAGAGGAGACCCTATGTTACAAGAGTCTTGACAGAGAGATTAACTCTGAATTAACTACCTCCAGTCTAAGATTTACAGGGATTGTAATGATGGTAAAAATCAATGTGTAATCCACCACCACGAGACTAAAGAGTCAAGGAACAGAATAAGATCAATTGTATAAATTTTTTATTTTATTTTTTTCTTAATGCAAGCTTTTGTCTCCTACCAAACTTGGTGTGTGACTATAAAGCCTTTTGGCCCTCAGTCAGAAATGGCAATAGAGTATATATTGCAATTTTTTCCCCTTCATCATTTCCCATGTGTGTATTCCTTTAAAGATTTTTTACAATGTTAAACAACCAAAACAGAACAGGTAAATTTGCCTCTCTTTCCAAATTGCTGCCCCCAAATTCCATCCGTTCTATTTTTTATTAGTGGTCTATGAGGTTTTCTATCTCTTTGACTTTCATTGTATTCAACTCGAGCTGCCTCTATGTGGGAACGTACTTTTTGCCTTACGTTATTTCTATAAACTTTGAATAGAAATATGGAAAGATTGAACTTTGAGTATTTCTCTCATCCATGAATTTAAAAAATAGTAAAAATGTACTCCACCAACTGTGTTATGCATTTGAGGTGATATCAGTGAAATGAGAAGCCATTAAAAAAAAAGGTTCCATTGCTTTAGTCTTTGCAGGACATCAATTAAAGAGTGACACTTGCCTTCTGACATAGTCTTTTAATCCCAAAAGGTAGAACTTAAATTGACAACCTATAGCAAGCTTAACCCTCTACTGAAGAAAACTTAGTGATCTAGAAAATTAAAACACAGCCAGACTAGGTGAAAAATGTTTAAGTAATACATTTATGGTTGGATGCAAGGTCTTTAGACTGTGATTTCTTGCTGTTTCAGAGTTTTTTGGGAATTCTTTTTGTCTATTCCTAATGCAATTAATTTATTTTTCAAGTCTGCTGATTTTATCTATCTTAGGACCCTCCAGGGGCAGCTGTATGCTCTGCACTGCCTTCAATATGCTGACAAAGCTTCTAAATAAAACGACTGTAAATCTTCAATCTGCTGTCCAGCATTTTTATATCACATTTGCTTTGTTGAGGTTGAACATGAGTAACTACTTTACACGTATATTATGAGTAAACTAAAATCCCCCAAAGTCTTACTGTAAGGTCAATTAGACAAAAATGTGTCTTTAAAAAATGAATATTTGATTGATAGGATTTTATCCATTCCATTTCCAACAATGAACTTACAAACTTTCAACTTAGGTTCTCAAAGGGTATTTCCCTGTCTCTCTTGTAGAGTAGTCAAACTGTAGTGTCCATTTTTGTATTTACTAGGGTGATGCATTGGAAAACTATGGCTCAACAAAAGAGTTCAGGAGTTCTACATGGATCTTCTACTGCCTGTGTATGTTTCTGCCCACCTGTAAGCCTCTGCCCATGTGCAATCTCTTTGCAGAGCCTCTCCCCAGCAGCCCCGACTAACCTGGGCTCTCTCCTTCCCCTGCACACACTGCACTTTGCACCTGGATGCCTTTGAGTGTTCATCTTGCTAGTATTGTTGTCTGTTTAAAATGAAGGACAAGTCAATGCTTTCTTTACAACTACTCAAAACTGGAAGATGTAAGTTCTTCAAAGATTAATCTGTCAACTCATTAAAATTTCAATTTTTCATTTTAAAAAACATAAAATTTGGGAACAGTGATATAGATGGAGAAGACGAAAGAGGCTTGAAAAGTCATCCTCAAGTAAAACTAAAATACGGTTGCACAAAAATAGGCAAGGAAGTTTCAAGAAAGAGAAAAAAACTGGCCCTATATAAAATAAATATGGTAAAGCGTCTAAGCCTACAATAATTACAGTGTTAACAGGGGTGAAAAAAAAATCAATGCTGCCTACTAAAAAGGCTAGATATATAATTGTATGGAATCATTCAGTATATCGTAAAGACAGTATTTTAAATTCATGGTGAGAATATGAATTATTTAACCAACTGATAACGGTTTGGCTCTGTGTCCCCACCCAAATCTCATGTCAAATTGTAATCCACACGGGTTCAAAGAGACGCCTGGTGGGAGGTGACTGAATCATAGGGGTGAACTTCCCCCTTGCTGTTCTTGTGATAGAGTTCTCATGGGATCTGGTTGTTTGAAATCATGTAGCATTTCCCTCTTCTCTCTCCGTCTCTCTCGTCACCATGTGAAGATGTGCTTGCTTCCTCTTTGCCTTCTGCCATGATTGTAAGTTTCCTGAGGCCTCCCCAGCCATGCCTCCTGTACGGCCTGTAGAACCGTGAGTCAATTAAACCTCTTTTCTTTATAAACTATGCAGTCTCAGGTAGCTCTTCATAGCAATGTGAGAATGGCCTAATACACCAACAATGTTGGAAACAATTAGCTAGATAAAACTTCCCACCTCATAAATAGGTTAAAGGTAAATTCTTAATAAATTAAGTATTTAAATGTAAACATTAAGCATCAAATACCATCAGATAGAAAACTATAATTTATGTAATTTGGGGGTGAGAAAAGTATTCTAACAATCAAAGCTCATACTATGAAGCAGAAATCATAAATTTAAGTAAGTATGGGGCCAAACAGGCACAATACACGAGCAATTATCAGACTAGATAAAATAATTCTGTTTTGTTTTTTTTTCCAGCAGAATCACAGTAAGCTTTTGGGTAGTGAGGCTGACACTCAGCCTCCACACTGAAGTAAGTACCTGGCAGGTATCTGCTTCATCCACATGGAAGCTGTATGTCGAAACAAAGGCTGAGCATTATCAGATCTTTTGCATTTTGGAAGAAAAGCCCATTTTTAATGTTTTCTTAAATTGTAAAAGAACAACACTGTGTGGGGCAAGGAAAAACATCTGATTCAACTCATTTAGCCATGAAGGAAAATATGGATAGATTTGACAATATAAAGATCATTCCCTTTACCACAAAATGTCATAAGCATGTTTATTTAGATATATACTTTAAAATCTATATCCATTAAGCACCACAATCAACTCCAAAGAGCAATCATGTTGTTTCCAGAAATAAAGCAATGATAGATCAAAAATACTGCATTTATATAACAGGATGTCCTGTAACTCAAAGATTAATGCACAAACAAAAATACAAATGGGGCTGTAAGTACTATATTAGTCAGGGCTTTACTGCTGTTTGTGTATCTAATTACAATATTTGTCATCTTAATCTTTGCATTAGGCTTCCAGTACATATTGGCTTACAGTTATAAAATGTTTCTGGAAGAAAACAATCTGGATATGTGACCACAAAATGTGATGGACTATTTAGTGATGCTAAAAAGATGCCAATATAAAATTCATAACAGGTTTGCTTTCGGAAATAACACTAGTTTCCATTTATCATGTAGCATTAAGCTCTTACTGTATCATCATTAATGTACAGTGACAATTAATAAAAATTACTGAAGAAACTAAAAATCCTCCAAAGTATAATTAAAAGTGAGAAATGTTCTGAGCCCCATTTATATTCTGACCAGCATAAATAAGATACTGACTGCAAGTTCAAGAAGAATTCCATTAACTATCCAAATTCTTCTGAAGATCCAAAATTCCCACTAAATAAACACCATGTTCTAAAACAGAACATGGCTTCATCATTCTTCATTTAGACTGAACACACGTAGAGCAGGGATGCATAAAAAAGGCATTGGAAAGTAAAGTTTTGGCACTTGTGTAGCAAAATTGAAGCACACAGACCCCCAAATGTTTACTTTTTAAATCTATGTGTCTCGACTGGGAGCAGTGGCTCACGCCTGTAATCCCAGCACTTTGGTAGTCCAAGGATGGAAGATTGCTTGAGTCCAGGAGTTAGAGACCAGCCTGGGCAATATAGTGAGACCCCATCTCTACAAGAAATACATTAGCTGGGTATAGTGGTGTGTGCTTCTACTCCCAGGTACCAGAAGGCTGAGGTGGAGGGTCACTTGAGCCCAGGAGGTCAACGCTGCCGTGAGTTGTGATCATGCCACTGCATTTAGCCTGGATGATGGAGTGGGATCCGATCTCAAAAAGAAAAGAAAAATCTACCTGTCTTAAAGTAACTGGATAATTACCACATCACTTTACTTTGTACTGTACTCAGTCACCACAACCACAAACATTTTAATCCTGAAGAAGATCCTGAACTGAGCATGAGAATGTCATACAACCGCATCATCAATGAAGACAAATAATATCAGGTAAGTCAAGCTTATGATATGAGCTTGATTTGAGGAGGTCACATAGAGGTGAAATGTGTGACCTCCTCACACTGATTTGAGGAGGTCATATAGAAACACAGTGGCTTTTACAGACCTGACAGTCAGGTTGCACAAGGTGAATTCAGTCAATATTCCATGCTGGGAACATAAAAACATTGTTTTGCACAACCTGAATTACTCCACTTTCTTTATACAGGTAGGAATGGTGTAACTATCTGTGCGACAGCTTAAGAAGGTTGTAGTGAATTTGAAAGAAACATCATTGCCTCACTGCTTTGCACATTTCAGGGACTAGAAGGGATGCACTAATAATCTACAACAGAGGTGAACTGGAACTCAAGTTTCTCAACTTTTAATGCAATGTTTCTTCCCCACTGCAGGGCATAATTATAAAAACATGCTGTAACAAATGGAAAAAAATATAGTCTATAGGGAAAAGCTAAAGTAATTGAGTTTATATAATCAACAGGAAACATTTTTCAATTTTGACAAGCAGCTTTCCCCTGGATTTGCTGATATCAGAACAATAAAAAATGGGCCATATTTCTTTCCTTAAATCTTGATACGATAAATTATTTTTGCATCATTTATATTATAAATCAATTTAAAATGTGTGGACCAATTTAACAAATAAAAGACTAATTTGTCTTATGCTAGATAAATCAGTAGGTGGTAAATGGTATTCTTAAAATACAACATGAGGTTACACATAAAAATATGTATTACTCATTATTTAAATATGAATGGCAGAAATTTTTTTCAAATATTGATATAAAAAATAACATGTATCTGTTCAATCATGTTACATAAAATTTCACTTATAAATCTCATTTTGATTTTGGGTTAGATAACTAAATATTTTGGATTTACAGACTTACTCATGGTATACCTAAGTATATAGACAGCATTTTATTTGTTCTTTGTTTCTTGCAATGCCAAGGTAAGGATATGGCTACTTTAATAATAACTAATAACAGTGAATACTTATAAGTGTTTACTATGTGCCAACCACAATACTAAACTATTTGCAAGTATTATTCCATTTCATTGCCATCACAACCCTATGAGGCAGTTATAATAGGTATACCCTATTTACAAATGAGCAACTGAACTTTGGTGAGTTTTGGCAGCTTCCAAAGGTCACTCAGTTCACAGCAGTAGAACCAAGACTCAAATCTATGCTGTCCCAACACCAAAATCAGAACTCTTAACCATTCGGCTATATTTTAGCCTCTATTTCATACATTTTTTTCTATAGAGGATAAAATCCAGAGATGTAACTAAGGATTTGACTCTTTCACAGTAGAAGCTGGCTTCCGTTTTGCATCTCCCTCCTTCTAGAGCCTTACATAATTATTTAAATGCTAGGAAAGGAATTACAATGTAGAAAGCAATAACTGGGCAAACAGTAGAAGGGCTATCAGAGGACAAGGAATGTGAACAAATTTCCAGAACAGAAATTGTATGGGGAGTAGTTATACTATTATAACAAGTCAGAGGATTCTTTAGAATACAGAAGATGTGGAACCCCATCTTCCCTACTCCACCTCCAATTAGAGGATGCCCAGGAGCTGTTCACCCACTCATCCCAGGCAAGATTTCTTCTGAAGAAAAAACTGAACAGTCACGAATGGAAAAAGAAACCAAACTCTGGAATTCTGTGTTTTCAATGAATCAGTGAACTTTGCACTCAAACACCTCAAATAAAAACCCTCCACACAACACATTCAACATACATACACAGAACTCCCAATTCGCTTTCAAATGTATTATTCCTAAATATTTATAGACAACCAAAGGAAGCCTCCAATATTAGAACAAAAAATGAAATATTATCCTGTAGGAAACAAAAAAAGAGAATAAAAATGTGATTAAGAAAAAGAAATCCTCTAATTTTTTTTTTCTTTTTTTGAGGCAGAATCTCACTCTGTCGCCCAGGCTGGAGTGCAGTGGCACGATCTCTGCTCACTGCAAGCTCCACCTCCCAGGTTCACGCCATTCTCCTGCTCCAGCCTCCCGAGTAGCTGGGACTACAGGCGCCTGCCACCACGCCTGGCTAATTTTTTGTATTTTTAGTAGAGATGGGGTTTCACCATGTTAGCCAGGATGGTCTCGATCTCCTGACCTCATGATCCACCCGCCTCAGCCTCCCAAAGTGCTGGGATTACAGGCGTGAGCCACCGTGCCTGGTCAAAATCCTCTAATTTTTATGCTCAGAGAGATTTGTGAAGGTACTATATTCGTAAAAGGAACAAAAAAATAAAAATCTCTTGGAAATTAAACATAACCATCTGTGTATTCCAAATTTTTAAAAATAGAAGTTTTGGAGGACAAAGTCAAGGAAGTCTCTCAAAATAAAAAGATAAAAACATGTAAAATGCAAAAGGTAATGTAAGATGCATAAATAATTAGTCCAGGAGGTTCCAACATCTGAATAATATAAATTTCAGAGAAATAGAGAAATAAATTAGCAAAGCAATAATATAGAAAAATATTCCGGAGCTAAAGGATATGAACCTCAAAGTTGAAAGGTCCCAGCAGGTGTCCAGAACAATGAGTGAGGACAGAGCCCACAGCAAGTGACATCCTTGTGAAATTCCAGAATCTCTGGACAAAACATATGAGACACTTCTGGGGGAAGAACTGGAGAAGCAGGATACCAAAACAGAATGAGAATTAGATGACATCAGACTCCTCAGCCATAGCAGGTGCTTAAAAGACAATGGAGACGCTCTTAAATATTATTAGGAACAATGATTCTTACCATATAATACAGTGTAGAGCCAAAATCATCCATTGTCAGGGTGAAATAAACAGATTTGCAGCCATGAAAGGAGTCCTGGAAATTTATCTCCTTTCTGGTGATGTGCTCTAGGGGGAAAAAGGGAATAAACCACACAAGGGGAAAAGAAAGATAAAAGAGTCATGATTCCTGGATACAATCCAAGAGATGGTGAAGGAAAGTCCTAGAGATGGCAGTTGTGCAGCAGAGACCAGAGAGGAACAACCATAATTGGAGCTGAAATATGGAGGGATGGAGAACAGGAAAAGGTGCTCTTGGTGGAACCTCTAATATGACTTTGAAGATAAGACTGATGTGGCCATGAAAAAACAGGGCAAGAAACAAAGAAGAGTAATTAGAAACTCCAGGAAAAGCAAAAGGTGGTGTAGAAAGAGAAATGTTAGCATAGTATAGTACCATGTGAACAATATAGCAATACTGTAAGCAGTACTGATCATTTCAAAAATATATACACATAGTATATATATATACTATGTGTGTATATACACACATAGTATATATATTCTATGTGTGTATATACATAGAATGTATATATATGTATATATGTATATATGTATATATATACATACTATATATACTATGTGTATATATACACATAGTATATATACGTAGAATATATATACTATGTGTATATATATACACGTAGAATATATATACTACGTGTATATATATACACACACGTAGAATATATATACTATGTGTATATATATACACAGTATATATATACTATGTATATATAGTATATATATTTACTATGTATATATATATAGTATATATATTTACTATGTATATATATACATAGTATATATATCCTATGTGTATATATATACATAGAATATATGTATACATAGTATATATAGTATATAATATCACTATATTGGGAGGTTGGGAGATGGAAGATGGGCTAGTGTAAAAAAATCTAAGTATTCATCTATCATAAGAAGTTAGTACTGTAGATGATGTCTAAAATTTAAAAAAAAGAAATAGCAAGAAAGACATATTATTTAGAAATATTCTGGTAACTACAAGAAGAAACAGCTACAATAGTTAAATACCTGGGAAGTAGGACTGGGTGCTGCTGGGTAGGATGTGGTGCAATAGGAAGGAATTATAAAAATTTGATAGTATTCAATTATTACGTTATATACATATGTGTGTTCAGTTATGTATGTGTATGTGCATACTTTTTATCAGATTTATATAGTTCATGTGTTTAAGTCCTATTCAAGAGTGTAGAATTTACTGTCATTGTTTAAAGCAGACTTCGGCTCCTTGACAGAAGATTTATGTGCTCACACCTACTGTGCCACAGAGGAAACATAACTGCCACTTGGAAATAAAACTCACTTGTTAAGATTTACTGCAGGTTGCTGCTTCTCTAAAATTTAAGTTTTACCTCTATCTGAAGGTAAAAGAGAGAAGCAGTTTGCTTTTTTACTCTTAGATTCTCTTAGCCTCCACTGCATAATGTATTATGCATCAACTTATCTTTAATTAAATGAACATTCTTTTTTTTTTTTTTTTTTTTTGAGACGGAGTCTCGCTCTGTCGCCCAGGCCGGACTGCGGACTGCAGTGGCGCAATCTCGGCTCACTGCAAGCTCCGCTTCCCGGGTTCACGCCATTCTCCTGCCTCAGCCTCCCGAGTAGCTGGGACTACAGGCGCCCGCCACCGCGCCCGGCTAATTTTTTGTATTTTTAGTAGAGACGGGGTTTCACCTTGTTGGCCAGGATGGTCTTGATCTCCTGACCTCATGATCCACCCGCCTCGGCCTCCCAAAGTGCTGGGATTACAGGCGTGAGCCACCGCGCCCGGCCTAAATGAACATTCTTGCAGAAACAAACTCATTTTGGGTAAGTAGCTGTGTACTGGGAGTCTCTGTTCTTTCAGACACAAAAGGGACAAAGTTCATTTTTACGTTCTTAACACTGAGCAAACCATTTTTCAATCATTCAGAACTGGTAAATAAGTATAATTATTTCTGCTGCAAAGAATAGTTTAATAGCTAGATATTAGCTAGAGAAGCCAACAATGAGGCTTGCTAATCATTGCTTTGACAATCTTCTGCTTTATTTTTATATGTGTCTCATAAAACTGTCAAATTTGAGTGGTAAGCAAGAGCTTTGAGAAAATAACTCTTACCAGCCTAGGGAACTTTAGTAGAACATCTTATCTTTAGGGGCCTGATCTTAGACATATTCCAGGAGAAAGAGCCTGGAAAAAAAGATATTAAATAATACATCTGATTCTTCTCTCTTTCTCATATTCAAGCAAATACTGGTCTTTAGATCAAAACAAATTAAAAACTTCAAGGATGTCCTTGGTTATCCCCAAGATGGACTTTGAAAATGATGTTAAGACTTTAGATTCGATATGTCCTGAAATAAAAATTTAGTGTTACCTTCATATGATGAGGAAATTGTCAAAAACAATTTGACAATTGATTGGGATCAAAGAAATAGTTGTATATTATACAAATAAGGTGGTTAATTAATATCTGCAAGCATTAAATGAACACGTTATTATGTTTCATGCTGATAGAATTTGAAATAATAATTAAAAACCACGTTAAAGGAAAACCATTTTATATCATTTTTTTATTCTCTTAACTATCTCAATCTAACACAGGGAGTCAAAAAATTTCTTTCTTACCAAACTTCAGTCATTCCAGTACCTATATGACTTTTGGCACATATTATATTTCTGTGGTTAACAAAATATTTTTCTTTTAATTGATTGACTTTTAAACTTAAAATAGTGACCTTGAAGCCTTGTTCAAAGAGAAAATAATGGAATTTGTTTTCTATTTAGTGGTATTTGCATTCCTCCTTTGTAAAGTCTATGGTATAGAATGAAAAAGTGATGTCTGCAATCAACACCAACCTCACAAAACAGTTATGAGGTTTGGATAAGATAATATGCGCAGAATGCTTAACATAGGCGCTTAGTAACTAAAGACCATTTTCAATGGTATATTTTCCCTTTGGTTATGGTTGTCTCTAATCATCTTAAGGGGGGATAATGAAAAAAAGTTTCCCCTGGAAAAATCTCATCTCCCTCAACTTTTCTTCCACTAAGAAGTGGCAAATATACTGCCAAAAGAAGTTTCCAGAGGCAAAGATCAGACTCTTTTTGCCAAGTTTTACAAAAGGATTAAAATGAAAAACCATTTGTTTCCTCCAGCTGGGATTAGGTAGCAAGGGGAGAGTTGATTGAGACTTCTGTCCTCACCTCTTCCTATCTGATTCTCCTCTACTTTCCCTGACACAAAGAAGAAAAAAAAATGTATTCTTCTTACACATGTCTAACTTTCACAGAAACCATACTGCGGCTGCTGCTCTAACTTTATTCTTTGTGGTGGTTAATTTTAGGTGCCAGCTTGACTGAATTAAGGGATACTCGATAGCTGGTAAGGCATTATTTTTAGGTGTGTCTGTGAACGTGTTTCTGGAGAAGATTGGTGAGTCTGGGGACTGAGTGGGGAAGATCTGCCCTCACTGTGGGCGGGCACCATCCAATACACTGAGGGCTCAAATAAAACAAAAAGGCAGGAAAAAGGTGAATTCACTCTCTCTCTTCTGGAGCTAGGAGAACCTTCTTCTCCTCCCCTCAGAAATCAGGACTCTAGGTTTTCTGGCCTTTGGACTCCAGGACTTGCACCAGCACCGCCTGCCTCCCATGACCTCCATAACCGTTAGATAATAAATTTGTGTTGTTTTAAGCTTGTGAGTTTGTGATAATTTTTACAGCAGCTATAGAAAGCTAATACCACCGTGAACTTGTTAGAAACGCTAATTCTTGACTCCCACCCAGGTCTACTGAATCAGACACTCAGGAGTGGGGCACAGCAGTCTGTTTTAACAAGTCCTCCCAGTGATTCTGATGCTTGCTAAAGTTTGCACAATACTTTCCTGCCTCTGCTTTCTCATTGTCCCTTTGTCGTCCTGCTTTAATCTAATTTAAACCCCCACCATTAATTGCACCTGCTCTTGAAATCACCTAATTGCCTGTTTGAATCACCTGTCTTTAGCCTTTATTCCATCTGAATTTTCATCATCATTTGAGACTATTAACCATTACCCCTCTTGAAATTCTCTGTCTCCTGGCTTCCAAGATATTGCTCCTACCTGTCTTCTTGCATCACGCTAAGCACACCTTCACTTCTATTTTGTGGTTCTTCCTTTATCCACACCTTATGTATGGGGCTTTCTTGTGGTATGTTCTGCAACCTTTTCTCTTTTCCCTCTGACTCTCCCTGGGCAATATCACCTACTCTCAAGTCATGTTTCAACCTAAACCTTGATGACTCTTAATCTGCGTCTCTAGCACCAGCCATTTCTCTGCACTAGTCCTGAATTCTAAATTGTGTTCTACCTCTCTACTTGTATTCCTATCTGGGCCTCAAATTTAATATATCCTCCCCAACTTTACCCCAACAAATCTGCAGTTCCTCTTGCATTTCTTCTCATTTTATGACCTTATCTGACCTTATCAGACATTCCATTGCCCAGTGATCCATGATTCTTTTTCACCCTTATCTTTCACAAATAATTGTGCACAAATTGTTTCAATTCTATTTTTAAAATATGTTTGAACTTTACTGCTTTAGAGCTTCTCCTCTGTGTCACCAGCTGCAGCCCTAGTTCAGTGTTTCTCAAAGAGCAATGTTAAACAGTGGACCAAAATCACCTATGGTACCTATGGTGCTTGTAAAAATTCCTGAGATCTGGTTAGACTCAGCTGAATTTGACTTTCAGTGGGGCGGGGTGAAGGAGTCATGGTCTGGTAATCTGCATTTTAAGTGAATAGCTTGGTTGGGTTTCATGCTACCAAATTTTAAGAACTACTGCCTTAGCCGAGATCGCGCCATTGCATTCCAGCCTGGGTGACAGAGCGAGACTCTGTCTCAAGAAAAAAAAAAAAAAAAAAAAGAACTACTGCCTTAGATAAGCTATCACTGTTGACCTGAACTCTATTCCTTGGTTTTTGTATTAGTCTTTCTCTTGCTGCAAAACAAATTACCTCCAATTTAGTAGCTTAAAACAACACACATTTATTATCTCACAGTTTCCTTGGATCAAGAGCCCAGGCATAGTTTATCTGGATTCTCTACTCAGAGTCTTTCAAGGCTGCAGTTAAGGGATTGGCTGGCTGCATTCTTATCTGGAGGCTCAACTAGGGAAGGATCTACTTCCAAGCTCATTTAGGTTGTTGGCAGAATTCATTTCTTGTGGTGTACAACTGAAGACTGACGCTTCTTACTGACCATAGCTTGGAGCATGCCTTCAGGTCCTAGAGGTCACCTGAAACTCCTTGCCACTTGCATTTAAAGCAGTGTTAAAGGACGTAATTTTGTCTTTTATCTTAGACATTTTATTGACATCACATAATAGAGATTTGGTTTTTGAAGATTCTGTAACTCTGATGATATTTCAACTGAATTGCATGGCAGTTAAATGATTTAAATATTAGAAATAAGCCAAATTCCAATGTTACAAAAAAGTATTTTTCTAAGATTAAATAATATGTATTATTTGCAATGTCCGTGACTCTCTGTGCAAAAATCCCAAAGGGTGCTTGTTAAAAGTGCACATTCTGGAGCTCCAGTCAGTCCCCAATTTCTGATTCAGTAAATCTTAATATTTAACAAGCACCCTAACTGAATCTAATTCATATGTCCTAAGAATGATGTTTTGGTAGCCACTTGTCTATAAGATATAATAAAAAATAAACATAAGTAAGTTGAAATATTTTAGAAAGTAAAAAAGTCTTTGAACATAATTATAAAATCATATGCAAGGGAAATCCCATCAATTACACTAGTGATGATTTATCTACTTTAAAAATTATGCAAAAATGAGTAGTTCAAATTAACAGCATAATTTTACTAATCTAAGACAGTCTATGGTGACAGATCATTACCTAATCTTTATGAAAGTAATCTGCATTATAAAAACAAAATTCCATTAAATTTAATTAGCTGAAAAGTTTTCAGCCAGCTTCATGTAAATCTTCCAATAAGGAACTAGTCCAATCTTTTCTTTTTTTGATAGCAGTACCTTTATTTTTACAGGTTTTTTATGCAGCTTTTAAAAAAATTGATATGTCATAGTTGTACATCTTTTTGGGGTACATGTGATATGTTGGTACATGTATACAATGTGTAATGATCAAGTCAGGGTAATTGGGATATCCATCACCTCAAATTTTTACAGTTTTCTACTTTATATTCAGAATGCCTTTTTTGTTGTGAGTACAGCCTGACATAGGCAACACAGTATAGTACAGTATAAGTCCATCAGCCACCAAAAACCAGTGGAGGAAAAAAGTCTATAAAATCGTGTTAAAAATTAATTCAGCCCTATCTTTAAGTATCTCTTAGCTTTTGCAGAAACCAGATTATAGATTATTGGATATGAGTTCATGTTTTTAGCTTATTATCCTGCATTAAAATATCCAACAGCAGGATTTTTTCTCCACTCAGCCTACCTGGAAAGTTCCATGTGATCACATTAATGGATGCAACACTAATCTAGAAGCTAGAGGCACAGAATTTTACTCCTATGTCTTTGTACCCTGTTATCAACCTCTAGTGGAAGATCATGCAATAATTTAGGATTCTTCTCCAGAGTAAATCCAATTAATTCAGGTATCTATGGTGACCTTCCTCACCACCTCCATCCCAAATTATGTAGATTAGCTGTAGGATTTTTCCCTAATATATCAGTTGGGAGTGTAACCTTGCATTGGTTTCCTGTGTTTTGGGTAGTTCAATTCATCAGGTTGATATGGAGTAGCCAATAAGTACAAGATACTGAGGAAGATTAAAATAAACACAAAATAACAGCCCTTAGCAGTCAGAGAGAGAGAAAAGGCATGACCACAGATAACCATTACACATATGGCATAATGCAGATAGTAATAAATTCCTTAGGGCTGTTACAAAGTTTAGAATACAAGCTCAGAATTTTGGCTTTATTATTTGTATTCATAGAAAATTAAGTCTGAAATCTAAGCACCCTAAGTCTCTGACAAAATCCAAGGAGATCTGAGACTTCCCAATAGAAACAGTCACTATGAACCCACTGAGTCCACCAAAGTCCAGCTGGTTTTGCTTACATTTGACTTTCAGTTGTCCTGTCATCTGCAAAATAGAGCAGAGCTGTTTAGCAGCTCTGACCAAACAATGGGACCATTCTAAGGGATACTGCAAAGTGTAATGGCTATTGTGCTGTGGTTTGGAACCTAAAATCTACTACCTATGTGAGGATATGATGTAAAAGTAATTCCCAATTCCTCAAGTGTCATTAAATTAAAATGCTCACAGCCTGCAAAAGAACTAAGACTATCAGTTTGTCATACAGTTTGGCTGTGTCCCCACCCAAATCTCATCTTGAATTTCCATGTGTTGTGGGAGGGACCCAGTAGGATGTAACTGAATCATGTAGGCAGGTTTTTCCCATGCTGTTCTCATGGTAGTGAATAAGTCTCACATGATCTGATGGTTTTTAAAATGGGAGTTTCCCTGCATAAGCTCTCTTTTTGCCTGCTACCATCCATGTAAGATGTGACTTGCTCCTCCTTGCCTTCCACCATGACTGTGAGGCCTCCCCAGCCATGTGAAACTGTTAAGTCCATTAAACCTCTTTCTTTTGTAAATTGCCCAGTCTCAGGTATGTCTTTATCAGCAGTGTGAAAACAGACTAATACAGTTTGCTTTCTGCAGTCTAGGCAGGCACCTTCTTTATATGATTAATCATATCACTCCCTGTGCATTACCACACCTTCACTATAATTAAATTTAAAAAGAAACAATTGATACTAAGTTTTCAACAAAATTATTCCAAAATTACTTGAGTTTTTTTTCAAGCATTTGTTAAAAACATAATCGGGCTAATTCTTCTGAGTAAAATCAACAATATTGGAAGCACCAGGCTGTGATTCCTTCTCCTGGATGAAATCTAAAAAGATTATGGTTATGCACATCAGTTACTCCCAGTAATCCTTGGTGATTACTGAGGAAAAGGAAGAATTCTCACTGTATGAGAATGCAGTGCCCAATTGTATACACAGCTTTGATATGGGTGGGGATTGGGGGTGGAAGATGGCTTTTGACCCATTTCTAAATTTCAGAAACAATCACTCTTTTATACACTGAATAACTGAAAAGTATGTCAATAAAAATAGAGAAAAAAATGCATACATTTTTCATTGCCTAATATTGCACTGAAAATATTGTGTAATTTCCCTTACAGACTTTTTGCCCCTTTATCTGGTGCCTTAACCATAGGAAATTCACAGAGATGAGTCTTGAGAGGCATCAGACTAGGTGAGGACAGTAGCATACACAGAAAAGAAAGAAATAAAATCTTGCTCTTAAGACTTTCTTGCCTTTGTTTAAGAAAACTCTATAATGAAGTGATGAATCTTACTCCATTATAAATTTGTGGTGAAAAAAATTTAGGATATTTCTGTGGATATCTGATAAATTCAATACAAACAATATATGGGAAAGTATAAGATAAACCAGTAAATCTATGCAAATTTTCACCCAAAGTAGATTGATCCCTCCTCTCCTGATTATAGACAATAACTTTCTAGTCTTCTTGTGACCACATGACATCAAATCTTAGCTACTTTTCCCCGATAATATAAATGTGAGATGCAAAATTATCTGATATAACATACCCCCAAAATTCCAGTATTAGGAGATAAATAAAATGCCTTTATAAGCAAATATTACTCACCCCCTAAAAAATTATATCTTGCTCTATTTCTTTTTTAAAAAAATTAAGGAAAAGTGCCAAATAATATTTATGTAGTAAGACTTTAGGAGTTGGTTTTTCATTTTCACTTTTTATCCAATTAGTTAAACTTCAGCAACTTCTCCCTTAATTAAAATCAGAACATCTTTTATGTGATTTTTATAAGACAAGGGTTTTTTTCAATATTTCATATATTTTCATATAGAACTACTGTGTTTGGTTTAAAATCACATATTTTCATGTACTGTACTAAAAAATCTCATTCTTATTTTCTTATTAGAAAAACAAAAAGGATTTAAAGACTGTTGCCGTTATTTTTAAAAGGAAACATTTTGCTCAGCTTAGTGCAGTCAGTTCAGCATTTTGTTGCAATAATAACTTAATATAATTGGATTATTTGTAACTCAAAGGATAAATGCTTGAGGGGGTGGATATCCCATTCTCCATGATGTAATTATTATGCATTGCATGCCTGTATCAAAATACCTCATGTACCCCATAAATCTATATACCTACTATGTAGCCACAAAATTTTAAAAAATCAAATAAAAAAGAAATAATTTGAAATAGATGCAAATACAAGGCATTTTAAAAGTCCATTTAATCTTTTTAGATCTCATTTTGAAAATATGTGACCTCAGAAAAAAATTATAGCCAATCAGCCCTCTGTTAACATTGACAACAGGTTTGCTTTCTTATAACATTAAATTTATTCTAATTGAAGTTTTGGCACCTTCCCAGAATGACAGATTCTGCAGACAAATTGGTAGGCAGCTCAGTTATCAAAAAACACCCCAAATGTTATATACATATGAATTCTTTACTTATAATCATTTTTTTTTCTAAAACTAAGAAAAAATAGGTATCCACTAGAATATGGGTAAAACTACAGCTCAACTATGGTTTAAGCCAGGGGTCGCCAACTCTCAGACCGGTACCAGTCCGTGGCCTGTTAGGAACCAGGCTGCATAGCAGGAGGTGAGCGGCAGGCAAGTGAGCTTTTCCACCTCCTCTCAGATCAGTGGCGGCATTAGATTCTCGTAGGAGTGCAGACTCTATTGTGAACTGCGCATGCGAAGGATCTAGGTTGCATGCTCCTTATGAGACTCTAACTAATGCCTGATGATCTGAGGTGGAACAGTTTCATCCCAAAACCATCCCCAGCCCAGTCCATTGAAAAATTGTCTTCCATAAAACCAGTCCCTGGTGCCACAAAGGTTGGGGACTGCTGGTTTAAACTATGACGAGAAGTCCCAAGTCATATGTACAGCTAGATAAAAACATATAAGAAGATACCAAACATATATATATATATACACACACACACACACACAAATGTATATATATATACACATAAAATATGTCTATGTTTATACCTACAGCTATGTTTAACAGGTTGTCTGAGAATCATATATCTAGTTTTATAATGATAGTGTTTGTTTGATGCTATCAAGTAAACAATCTTTAGTTCATTCTGATTTTCTAATTCAGAAAGAAAAGAAAAATCCATCAAGAAAAGCAATTTTAGAAGGACAGGAACTGGGGCCAAATAGGTTGTACCATCTATTTCCTCTAAAACTAACCAACAGAAGGTCTGACAGCCTGTTTTAGTTACCAGCAGCTTCCCTTCATTAAATCTAATTGCTATGCAGAGGCCATTTCAATTGATGCATGTAAAAAGCAATTTCAAGTCCATGGTGGTGGCCTCCAGCCTCTCCGGGGAATGGATGGTCCATTCTCCTCCTTTTTATGTTCACCTTAGTACAGGAAGGCAGTTGAAACTACTAATGACTGTCTATCCTGTGAGTGTCACTTGGCCAGAACTTGTCAATAAGTTTATCAAGAGGATTCTCTTGGAATTTCATATTCCAAGATACATTTGGAATTGTGAGACACAAAAATTTTACTAGAGAGAAAAAGAAAATGAAAATAAATGAACAGTTGAATGAGTGAGTGACTGGGCTATGGTGCCTGAGCTTGGGCTTTAGGACCACACTGTGTGGCTTTACTCCTGGATCTACTCTCAATTGGGCAACTATGGACAAGCTATTTAATTTGTCTGAGCCTCAATGTCCACATCTGTAGAACGTGTAAAAGAGCAGCCCTGTCTTATGAGGATTAAATGAGTCAAAGCATGTTAGCTAACATATTGTTCCTGCTTTACTAAATATCTTCCATTCAGGCTGACAAAAATAATACAGAGTTGTGTCCTATTTCAGAAAAATTTAGTTTTTTAATGATTCGTTCATTCATTCATACATTTTGTATTTTCTGATTCTATACTTGTGCTAATTAAAATGACCACATCTCATCAAGTGAACCTAATATTTGAGGTTTCTGAATGTTTTAGAGAAAATCTAGATGATAACTAACAACAACCACTACAAAATAACAAACCTAACAGAAATGTGGGTATCCTTTGTGTAGTGATAAAGGGATAATTTTAAATCATTTGAAAAAATATAATATTATTGAATTAATATATTTATATACATATTTAAATGATGACATCAGATGTAGACTCAAATTTACATTCGCTAGGAATAAAAACTTGTCATATATGGTCACACTCATTCACTAAATACCTAGCTACATGTATACTATGTTGAAGCATAATACTTTGTAGATTAAAGTGCTCTGATAATTATTATCATTAATCAAGTGCCTACTATGTAGCAGGCACTTTGTATTTGGCATCTATTAGTCCTCACAATAAGCCAATGGTAAAGATATTGTTAGCTGTTTACAGACCTAAAGAGGCTACTAATGAGGAGGAAGCATACAAAACCTCAAGTCTGGTGCTAAAGTCCATGTTTTTCCTTGCTTGTTATGTGGCTTTGATCTTTATAATAGAAGATATTTTCTCTCTAATTAGATACCATTATCCAGCTTCATACAATTATATACTTAACTTCTCTTTGAAGATACAAACCATGCTTATTTCTAATACAAAGCCCTAAAGCGTATTTTATAAACACTATGGGTACATAATGTTGTATAGTGTTTCTTCTCCTACCTCTATAAAAATGGTATCATTAGATCAGTAGTAGATCTTTCAATCAGTGGCCTCCATGATTGTGATTAGGACTGTTTACAAATGCTGGATCTCTTGCTCTGGGCATGTGGTAAAATTTTGAGATTCTCTGTTTCCTTGAAAGCAGTGTGGCCATAAGTGGAAGTGGTGAATTTTGCTTCCAGCTTTTAAAACCAGCACATGACTGTCCATGCCTCTTTTTCCCTGCCTCAGGAATTGTGAAGTCATGGGTGGTGATGGTACTTCCCACACCTGGGTTTCTCAGAAACTATGATGCCGACTTGCGATGGACATGTAGAGTGGGCAAGATATAAACATGGTTATTGTAAGCCACTGAGGTTTTGGAATTGTTTGTTACCACAACATAACCTGGTTTGTACTGACTGATACAGCACCTTGGAATGTAACCAACTTGGCATTTACCTTAAGATCCCATCTACTTAAAAAGGGCAACTTCTTGAAAAGAATATAGAAAAGAAAGCTTACCGTAGCATTTTATGACAATTTACAGAGTGACAGCCCACCAAATCAATCTTTCTTAAATTGTATTCTTCTGCCATTTTCCCCTTTGTACTACCCAGGCATGAAGTGGGTTACAGTGGGAAGCTGTAGTTGACACAGTACAGAAGCCATTCTTCTACATGAACTCAGTGTACTGAATAACATGATGTGATATTTAGTGTTTTTTGTAAGAAAATAAAAGGTTGAGAAAATTACCAGCTAAGGTGCATTATCTGTTCTGTTGCAGTGAATACAAGAAGTAACTCAAATGTGTGGAATGCATTTTTACTGGCCTTAATAATTAAATACCGTGGTATATGTCTTTCCATATCCTGAATAACTAATTAAATTATTCTTAAAATGATGAATTGCAATAAAATCATCTCGCTGAGGTTAGCTTTGTGACACCTTTTATTATCAGAGAATATTTTTAAAGCCCCACAAAAAATTTCAGTAGAAAATGAAATGTTTTGTTATATCTTGAAAAGGTTATGAATTGCATCTTGCTACTGACAGCAAATTTCTCCAGATTGTATGTTCTGAAGTTGAGACTTCCATTATATTTTCATTGCACTGAGACTAAATTAAAGCAGATCTTATTATAGAAAAAGAATCACATTCTATTTTAAGAACTATTCTCACAATTCCAACTTATAATATCAGAGGAAAACAGAAAAACAGCAAAGCAAAGATTTATTAGAAAGAAAAATATACTTATCAAGACAAATAGCACTTTAAATAAGTTGACTATTTCAAGCTACCTAGAGATTCTAGAGCTATGAAGTTGCTTTGGAAAGTTCTAAGAGCTTGATGAATAATATATTCTCTAAGCACTTCTAACTTTATTTATATTTCCCACCTTGTTCTATAAAAATCTCAAGGTGGTATACAGAAAGGCATACAGAGCAATGGGATTAAAAAAAGAAATGAGAAAATAGGGACTCTGAGAAACAAATGTCTGGAAATAAGACAGAAATAAGATGAGTTCTTAAGTTAAAACAATAATTTACAAGATTCACAGGTGCTCTCTATTGAAAACAAACCAGTTCCTTGGGTTCCTAGTTTATGGAGTATGTTCAGAGAGGCCGGGCTGAGTTACTGGAGGAAAGAGAAATCTAAAAACCCAAAATTTTTAGATATTTTTACCATAGTCGCTTAAAAAAGTTGAAAATGCACCCCCTCATATTCTATGCATTTATTCCTACATTCTATGTGTATAAATATGTGCCATTATATTATATTCATTAAAAATACATAAAAATAGATTAAATAGAATAAGAGACATTGTATTACTTTCTTCCTTCACCCCAGGGGATAATTTTCCGTGTACCAACCTCACCAAGATATAACAGGAAAGTGCGTGGATGCTTTCCTAGCCCCTCAAAGGAAGGAATATCTCCTGCTGCTGAATAATCTCATCCCTCACCCTCCCCAAACATCCCTGCCTGCCTTTTAATCTGAAAGCTTCCACACATTTAGCAAAGGAGGTTGTCTTCCACAAGCCTTCTGTCTCTACACAACAGAAATCCATTCCTCAAATGTCTTTTCCTTCTCTAGTAACTAGTTGTCTTCATTTCTCAAAGATTTTCCTATGAAAAATCACAAACTTGTTCCACCAACAGGATATACTGGAGACAAAAAACAGACCTCCTCTACTCTTGATTTTTCCCAGAATCTTTTGATAAATCAGGATTTGTCCAGTATTTTACTTCCACCATAGCAACCTCTTACTGCACTTCAAAACCTCATTAACCCAAATATCAAGGCCAAAGACTAAGACAATAGCGTTTTAGCCAGATTAATCTCTTCTCAAATTAGAAGAGAATTTTTTTTTCTTCTTACTATACTTCCTCAGATGCTTAATTTACAATAATTCTTCAAATTTCACCATACAACTCATCTGCAAGAATCTCAGTGTTCAATGTTATCCTTTGAATTTCACAGCCTCCCCTCCTCCTGCTTGGGACCATCAAGGTCACTGTGGCCATCAGAAGGATCCTCTGGGACTGGGATTGGCAGAAGTGTATATCTGCCCAAGTAGGATCCCTTGCCCGTGCAGCACTTCCATCTAATTTCACTATTAAAGCCTATATCAAAGCCTTTGAATGGCAAGTTATTAACATCTCTAGCATGACATTGGTACAACAGTGCAGTAAACACTAATCAAACTAATTCAGTCCTTAATTTCACTTGCTTCTGCTAAATGGCTCACGTGATATGGCAACCTTCAAGACAGCCTTCTCATAGACTCTGGAGTTTAAATTTACATGGGGCAGAGGTAATCACTCCCAAATGCAATTATCTCATTACTACCAAATCTATATGTGGAGAACTAAATTAGGACCAGAACACTTTTCACCTTTAATTTCTTACTATCCTTGTTTGCTTGTTCTTTTTAAGCAGCTATTACTGACAAAGTAAAAAAAAAAAAGTTTTCCTACTTGTCAGCGCTGCCAAACAAGATGGTCTAATAATCAAAACAAGGACAAATCATTCTTAACCTTTTTGTTTCTTAGTTTTCCCAAATGCAAAGCAGGTATAAGATAAAGACCAATTCCCTACTACCCTGGGGCATTAATTACCAAGATAATGATTATCAGGCTCATGGAAATGCCTATAAAAAAGTCTTTGTATAAAGACAACTGATTTTTCTGTTCCACACTCGAATACACACTATTCTTGGGTTCACCGAACTAGAATACAAGGTATCAACTTCACCATTTATTATGATAGAGTTGGCTGTGGTTATTTTGTCTGCCTGAGAGGGCAACCAGATTTGAGTTGAAGAACTGTCTGGCCTCTATCAAGCCTTTATAGATTGATTTGGTGTTGGCTGAATATTTATAGTTTCAAAGCACTATCCAGAATATAAAAGGGGACTTACTTCTTCTGGCAATTTGTGTTCGATTGAACTAAAATATCAAAAAGTCTTCTTTTATGTTAATCTGAAATATCAAATAAATATGATGAGACTAGCACTGCTTTTGAGATGTATATTTATCTGCTTACACTATGTCAGGATTTAATTCTTAGAAAAAACATTAATTTTTAATGAAAATAAAAGGATATTGTTGAAAAGATATGAAATAAACAAAATTATTTTAAAGAATGATATACAAATTTAAATTATACTTTTAAGCTATATTTTAAACAAAGGGCATTTTAACAATAAAATAAACCTAACATATATGCTAGAGATAAGAGATTTAAGAAAAAATAATGACTTCTGATTCTACAGTATCTGAGGCAACACAAACACTTAGAAAAGTTTCACAAATGGTTCAAATAAGTGATTGACTATTTCCAGTTTTAAATGACCTGTCTTGTTGATAGACCTATTACCCAAACCTAGGGTAAATAAATAAGTGTTAAATGGTAGATGGATGATTCACAGATAACCAACAATTGTCTTTCTGAAATGCTGACTACAGGCAGAAGATGCTGGTCTCTGTCCCTTTTCTCAATGCTTCTTTGCCCTCCTAGCAGGGAGCAGGAGGTGCTGATAATCACTGGATTGGTTCCAGGATACTGACAAGGCCAGGCTCATCAATAAATGTAGTAGCAGCTTACGCATGTGAGCATGGCTCTCTCTCCTGTCTACTTCTTCCTTGCAGTTGGGTTAAAACTCATTCTGGGCCTTTCCTGGGGCAGTTCTGGAGTCAGCTTTGCCTTTCTCCTTTTCTCACAACTTTTCTGCTTGTAGACCTCATGGGGCTCTCATCTGGTTAACACAGTGATGGCAGATCCTGAGGTTAGGGTTTGGGTTTAGGAGAAAAGAGACTCCTCCATTAGGTTTGAGTTATGAGCTTTAGCCCAGTTCTTTGACTTATGCTGTGATTGCTAAATTAACTTGGAAAAATCAAAATAATTTGCCACTTTAAAAATAAGCCCCTTCCTAAAATGAAAAATTCTTTTTGTGAGTTATAATGAGAGGCCAAGAAAGAGGCTTTTCTTCCAAATGCTCATGATACTACCAGAGCCAGGTTCCTTAAATCAAAACCTGACTAAATAATTTGCCAAGAATCAAAAACAATATCTGTATTGTAAATATTTAGTCACCGAGTCATTGATAAACCAAATACAACTAACTACATTAAGATGCTTATTAACATTTATTGTTTAAACATAACATCCTCAAGAATGCATGTATCCATTCAAAATTTAAAGTAGAATCTAACAACAAATAAATCCCCAAACACTGATAAAGTAACACCTACTAATATTTAAACTAGATATCAATATCCAAATACTCTTTCAATACTCGGATACATTCATCAACTGACTGAAAAGAATGGGAGGATGGGCACGGTGGCTCGCACCTGTAATCCCAGCACTATGGGAGGCCGAGGCAGGCGGATCACGCGGTCAGGAGATCGAGACCATCCTGGCCAACATGGTGAAACCCCGTCTCCACTAAAAACACAAAAATTAGCTGGGTGTGGTGGTGCATGCCTGTAATCCTAGCTACTCGGGAGGCTGAGGCAGGAGAATCGCTTGAACCAGGGAGTTGGAGGTTGCAGTGAGCTGAGATCGCGCCACTGCCTCCACCCTGGTGACACAGCGAGACTCCGTGTCAAAAAAAAAGAAAGAAAAGAATGAGAGACAGACTCACACAATCAACCCAGCAGCAGGCTTCTCTCCAACAGTTGGGAAAACAGAGCCTTCAGCATGTTAAATCTGCTACCCATCGGTTCTAACTGAAGAGGGTGAGTTAGTGTCAGAAAGGGAAGAAGGTGACAGGTAATGTGAAATACCATAGACACGTGGGGAAATAACTCTCACAAACCCACATCACCTTTTTTTGCCAAAATGGCATATAGAGAATACAAGACCCTGAAAATGATGTCCTTTCTCCAATCCCAGTTTGTAATTGTGCCAAGAGCAGGGAATTATATTCCAAGATGGAAAATAACCTTTATATTTTGTCCCAAAGTAAATATTTCAATCATACAATCAATAAACATTCTGAAATTGCATTATGATATATGACTAAAACAGTACCCTTTTTATTTCCATTCGCACAATGGACAGACATTTATAGCAGAGAATTTTATTACTATGCCTTCTCACCCCAGCCAAATAAATTCTGTTCCCAGGGCTCCCTCTCTCTGAATGCCTTATTGTCTACAAAGTGCTTCTTCTGCCCAAAAAGCCTTGCTCATTGCTAACCAATTGCAAAAAGTTATAATGACCATAAGAAAGAAATCAAGACTCCAAAAGATAAATGAATTAATGTAAATCAAGACTCCAAACAATACATGGTAATTATCATGAAAGAAAGAACAAATATTCAACAAACACATCTTCAGCCTTACCAATTATCAAAGAAATGCACTTTAAAACAACAATAAAGTACCATTTGGCATATGTTAAATTAGAAAAAATAACGGAAAATTTCAGTGCTATCAACGTGGCATAACACAGAAATATATTGCTAATAACAATGTAAAAACTAGATTTTACTCTTTTGCAGAATAATATGGCAATATGTATCCAGAATCATAAAAGTGTTCTTGCTCTTTGACCCAGTAATTATAAAATTCATCCTAAAAA
This sequence comes from Homo sapiens, assembly GCF_000001405.40. Lineage (NCBI taxonomy): Eukaryota > Metazoa > Chordata > Mammalia > Primates > Hominidae > Homo > Homo sapiens. Next base: position 118,053,818 of record NC_000006.12, on the reverse strand, counting down.
TCTCTCAGGCATAAAAATAATATGCACATTAAGATGTTTATTACATAATAAACATTTACAGTGCAAAAAATAAAAACCCTAAAAAGAGGGAAATGTTTAAGTAAGTGCTAGTGCTTCAAATAGGATATAATGCAGCCATTTAAAATTACAAATATGAACACTATCAAAACAATATGGGAAATGTTAACCATACACCATTAAGTGAAAAATAAATATTAAGTTATATGTTCACTATGATTATAATTGGTGAAATAAACATGTGGAGAGAGACAGACTATATGAAATGTAATCACATGTATCAGGATAATAGGATTAGGGAGGGTTTATTTAATGACCTTCTGTATTAACATTGTTATAATACTATTTTTACAATTTAAGATTATTGGAGATAAGATTTTTTTCCTCCACGGATATTTGAGTTATGGTCTTAAAGGCCAGGTGTGTGTCTTACTCATCTCTGTGGTATTCTAAGTGCTGGCCTGCTCTCTATAGAATTATTATCACATACCCTCATTTTTAGACAATAATCCAGATTTCTAGTCTTCTTAAATCTTACTATGCCTAAGAAGCAGCAAAGTAACACATCCTCTGTTTGGAGTGCCAGAGGGCAGAGGACTTTCATAAACTGGATTTCTAATTCCTAAAAAATCTGAAATTATCAACATTTAATTTAATTTGGAGCCCTTAAACAAAATCTTCTCCTTTAGGTAAATTTCCTTACCAGATAATTTTTTTTTTTCAAAATGAGGCTCTTCACAGTATCGATTCAAGTCCTTTACATTGCCTGATCAACCTGGAACACCTCATCAAAGTTAATGATAATCACTCTTGTGCACCACTGATACAGACAAGGGGCTTTGAGAACAGGACAAACACTCTTTGAACATAACAGACAGTTTATGGAAAGAACAACCTCATGTAAATGTTTAGCTCCTGAGAACCCCATTGCAATTACACAATAGGGAAAGAAACTACATTTTTCTAGAAAAAATACTAATATTTTGTGTTAACCCAGAATTAACTGTTCTCTCATAAAATTCTAATTCTTGTTCCATGATGAAAATAATTAGATCCTGTTATTTTTTTCACAAATAAACAGCTTTTCTCTTAATTTAGGAAAAAATGCATAGAGATAATATATAGAAATTGGTATACTTAATTGATGACACACTTTTTCCTTAAACTTTATTTTTGCTTTTCTCACTGGTCAGACACGAAAGTGATTTGAAAAGAAGGTGATAATATCTGATAATACTAACTAGTAATTCGATTAAAATTCTGTGCTGGTTTCCACTTGAATATATTACATTTTTAAGACTTCTTTTAAATTCACCTTTTCTAAGATGTTCCTATCCATAATTTGCTTTGTCTTTGTGCAATAGTAACTAGGTACTGCACTTATTTATACATCAGAAAATGAGGCAAAGTGTCAAGGATAGTACAAACTCAGAGTCAAAGATTGCTTCACTTTCTCAGTCTCCTATTAGCATTTAGGGACTTCTTGCTTTTTAAATTCTTTTAGTGGTTTGAGATTGTATGTGAACGACACCTGGGGAAGAAAAAATTTCTTTTTACATGGTGAGTTGTTTACAGATGGTGTTTACTACCAAATGGTTTTAGGCAAGGAGGGGTTGGGAAGGGGTGGCTGCAGGTTGTTATTTTTGACCATCATATCTGGAGTTGAAAGGCCATTCTCTACTGGACTAACAGCCCAAGGAGAAGGGTGAGATGAGAAGAGCCAGCATTTACCACCTGGAGTCATGAAGTACAGCACATTGGTTGGAGACAAGCCCTGGAATGATGGGGTCTTGATAAGACATGGAAGGTAGTTTGGAACATGAGTCATGCAAAGCAGTGACATTAGGGCTTGGTCTTATAAGGGAAGGTATTGAGGCCATGCACTTCCTGATCACCACTCTGGTTCTTCTGGCACTGTATTAAGCATCAAAATAATTTTCACCCATAAATCCTTCCCCAGCAAGACAAGTCATTAACATCCAAAGTCAGCTTGCAAGCTGGGCTCCAGCATCCCTCCTGCAAGAAAACTTACTTCATTAATGGTTAATACTGAGAACCTCCTTTTCATCTTTCTTGCACTTTGTAATTTCAACCATAACTCTGAGTTCCTACTAATATTTTCCTTGCATTATCCTCCATTTTTTTCACATATGTTCGGTTCCTCACCAATATTGTGAATCTCTAGGGAGTAAGTATTATTTATTTTACATTTTTTCATAACCCCACCCTTACCCAAAGACTTAAACAGTGACAAATATACAGTAAGTGAATGGCAAACTTGTAATTATGATTAATGTATTTTTCTTCTAACTATAGTATTTAGAAAATTCTTTTATTTATCTTTTTGAAAAAGTAGCATGCAAGAATCACACTCATTGCAACATGTAATTAGAAAATTACCCAATTATTCAGTGAGGTACTGAGCAATAGTCAAGTGCAAAGCTGTCAAGAGAGCTGGCTCCACAATGAGTACTTAGTAAGAATCAATGCATACTGAATAAAGGAACAAAAGGAAATACACTTTGAGCTTCTTTTTTGGAAAATTAAATACCATGTTTCTAAGAGATAATTAAATAGGTACAACACTTAAAGGCAATGCTTGATAAATGGTAAAAGTCGACAATCCAGATAACTAGGAAACTGACTTTGAAGTAAATTTCAAATCTATAATGCAGAAATTCTTTTTTTCTTCATTTCCTACACTTATTTAGCAGGAGAGGATGCACAAATTCTTAACATATGTCCTTTAATGAAGTATGTACAATTTTTGTATATCTTTATTTGATAGCAGAAGGGGATGTCAATGTCCTCATCTTTAAAGTTAGTTACATGCTGGAGAACATGCAGTTCCATGAGATTTCATCAGCTTAAGATGTTTTCTCCACCCTACAGCTACCAGGAGCCCCCTACTCCTTGTGTTCCCTCTCCATCTGTCCAGTCAAGGTCAACAGCTAACAAATGATTGAAGTCATACTCTGCCTGCAATATCCTTACTTTGATGTCTACCCACTCTTCCTAGGATGAAGGTCAAGTTCCTTAAATATGGTTTACAACAAAACCTGGCCTGCCTGGTCCCACCTTCCTCTTCAGCTTCTGCTAGTCCCCATTCCCCTTCTCACCTAGGATTCAACAGGGAATTTCTTTCAGTTCCTCAGACCTTGTGCTCACTCTCCTCCAGTCCTTCAAGTGTGTTGTTCTCCCTGCCTAAAACTCTCTTTCTCTCCTTTTTGCTTTGCCTGGATAGTTTCTGTTCTTCCTTAGCTATCACTTCAATAATTCTTCTCTGCTCCTGTGCCTCTTTCTCACAGTCAAAGTTAGCCACTCCTCTTTTAGGCTTTCATTCTCTCTGCTATTCTGTTACTGCCCTTATTGCACTGTAATACTATTTTGCTTTTTGGTTTTGTTTTCCTTTTTTTTTTTTGAAATTTTATTATTATTATACTTTAAGTTTTAGGGTACATGCGCACAATGTGCAGGTTAGTTACATATGTATACATGTGCCATGTTGGTGTGCTGCACCCACTAACTTGTCATTTAGCATTAGGTATATCTCCTAATGCTATCCCTCCCCCCTCCTCCCACCCCACAACAGTCCCTGGAGTGTGATGTTCCCCTTCCTGTGTCCAAGTGTTCTCATTGTTCAATTCCCACCTATGAGTGAGAACATGTGGTGTTTGGTTTTTTGTCCTTGTGATAGTTTGCTGAGAATGATGGTTTCCAGTTTCATCTATGTCCCTACAAAGGACATGAACTCATCATTTTTTATGGCTGCATAGTATTCCATGGTGTATATGTGCCACATTTTCTTAATCCAGTCTATCGTTGTTGGACATTTGGGTTGGTTCCAAGTCTTTGCTACTGTGAATAGTGCCACAATAAACATACGTGTGCATGTGTCTTTATAGCAGCATGATTTATAATCCTTTGGGTATATACCCAGTAATGGGATGGCTGGGTCAAATGGTATTTCTAGTTCTAGATCCCTGAGGAATCGCCACACTGACTTCCACAATGGTTGAATTAGTTTACAGTCCCACCAACAGTGTAAAAGTGTTCCTATTTCTCCACATCCTCTCCAGCACCTGTTGTTTCCTGACTTTTTAATGATCGCCATTCTAACTGGTGTGAGATGGTGTCTCATTGTGGTTTTGATTTGCATTTCTCTGATGGCCAGTGATAGTGAGCATTTTTTCATGTGTTTTTTGGCTGCATAAATGTCTTCTTTTGAGAAGTGTCTGTTCATATCCTTTGCCCACTTTTTGATGGGGTTGTTTGTTTTTTTCTTGTAAATTTGTTTGAGTTCATTGTAGATTCTGGATATTAGCCCTTTGTCAAATGAGTAGGTTGCAAAAATTTTTTCCCATTTTGTGGGTTGCCTGTTCACTCTGATGGTAGTTTCTTTTGCTGTGCAGAAGCTCTTTAGTTTAATTAGATCCCATTTGTCAATTTTGGCTTTTGTTGCCATTGCTTTTGGTGTTTTAGCCATGAAGTCCTTGCCCATGCCTATGTCCTGAATGGTGTTGCCTAGGTTTTCTTCTAGGGTTTTTATGGTTTTAGGTCTAACATTTAAGTCTTTAATCCATCTTGAATTAATTTTTGTATAAGGTGTAAGGAAGGGATCTAGTTTCAGCTTTCTACGTTTGGCTAGCCTGTTTTCCCAGCACCATTTATTAAATAGGGAATCCTTTCCCCATTGCTTGTTTTTGTCAGGTTTGTCAAAGATCAGATGGTTGTAGATATGCGGCATTATTTCTGAGGGCTCTGTTCTGTTCCATTGATCTATATCTCTGTTTTGGTACCAGTACTATGCTGTTTTGGTTACTGTAGCCTTGTAGTAAGGTTTGAAGTCAGGTAGCGTGAGGCCTCCAGCTTTGTTCTTTTGGCTTAGGATTGACTTGGCGATGCGGGCTCTTTTTTGGTTCCATATGAACTTTAAAGTAGTTTTTTCCAATTCTGTGAAGAAAGACATTGGTAGCTTGATGGGGATGGCATTGAATCTATAAATTGCCTTGGGCAGTATGGCCATTTTCACGATATTGATTCTTCCTACTCATGAGCATGGAATGTTCTTCCATTTGTTTGTATCCTCTTTTATTTCTTTGAGCAGTGCTTTGTAGTTCTCCTTGAAGAGGTCCTTCACATCCCTTGTAAGTTGGATTCCTAGGTATTTTATTCTCTTTGAAGCAATTGTGAATGGGAGTTCACTCATGATTTGGCTCTCTGTTTGTCTGTTATTGGTGTATAAGAATGCTTGTGATTTTTGTACATTGATTTTGTATCCTACGACTTTGCTGAAGTTGCTTATCAGCTTAAGGAGATTTTGGGCTGAGACAATGGGGTTTTCTAAATATACAATCATGTCATCTGCAAACAGGGACAATTTGACTTCCTCTTTACTCATTTTATGAGGCCAGCATCATCCTGATACCAAAGCCTGGCAGAGATACAACCAAAAAAGAGAATTTTAGACCAATATCCTTGATGAACATTGATGCAAAAATCCTCAATAAAATACTGGCAAACCGAATCCAGCAGCACATCAAAAAGCTTATCCACCATGATCAAGTGGGCTTCATCCCTGGGATGCAAGGCTGGTTTAACATACGCAAATCAATAAATGTAATCCAGCATATAAATAGAACTAAAGACAAAAACCACATGATTATCTCAATAGATGCAGAAAAGGCCTTTGACAAAAATCAACAACGCTTCATGCTAAAAACTCTCAATAAATTAGGTATTGATGGGATGTATCTCAAAATAATGAGAGCTATCTATGACAAACCCACAGCCAATATCATACTGAATGGGCAAAAACTGGAAGCATTCCCTTTGAAAACTGGCACAAGACAGGGATTCCCTCTCTCACCACTCCTATTCAACATAGTGTTGGAAGTTCTGGCCAGGGCAATTAGGCAGGAGAAGGAAATAAAGGGTATTCAATTAGGAAAAGAGGAAGTCAAATTGTTTTACTTTTTCAGTTCTTTGTCTTTATCCACTCCCAACATGCGCCCCAACAGGCCCAACCACCACTAAGTAGTAAATTCCTTGAGGACAGTTACCATCTTGTGTATTGCTATTATTTCCAGAGCCAGTTTTAAATTTTGATTACTAGAGTTATCCAAAGTTAAGGACACTAAGGTAAGTAAATTCCCGTTATTACAAAGATGGATGTTAGAGTGGAAATCAACATGTGTATTTTCTAATAAAGTTCAGGGAAAAATCATTTGATTTCAAAGAGGCACAGCTCAGCCTTGGAAGAAATGTTTTAAGAAGTTTGCTCAACCAACATTACTGTTTTATCCACAATAGTATAAAGCTGACTAAAAAAAGTTCATATCTACTAAAATTGTTCAAGTGCTTCAAATGAAACCTAATACCCTAGAAACACTTAGTAATTGTAGCCATCACTCAAGGGCTCAAAACCTATACTGAGGGCACCAAATTTGTGACGGGAATGCCCTAAGTTTTATGTCTACAAACACAATTCCCTTTGAACTTGGAAAGGAGGTTATAAATTCTTTGTACCTAAAATTTGTGAAGATAAGAACAACAGAATAAAAATTGCCACATCCCACCTTGACACATCTACCATAGAACTACCAATCAGTTGGAATTGATGGCGTAGGAAACAGCAGAAAGTTTCAGTAACCAAAACAGAGTTTTCTTTTATCCATAGCTTCTTGTCTTCTTATATTCTGCTGGAAGCAAAAGGTGTGTGATAATTATTGGAATCTCTGAGAGTATGTCTCTTCTTGGATTTATACTAAGCTCACTTAGAAAAACATTTCAGAGCCTCCAGGCTCAGTGAAATCAGAAGACTAAATATGATTTTTTTATATCTCAAAAATCTATCAGTAATTGAAAACTGTGGATAAAATCAAGCTTGATATATGTTAAAATTGAGAAATTTTAGTCAGAAAACAGGCTGGAGTCCCATTTTCACTACGTAAATTACTGTGTAACTTTTGGCAAGTAGCTTCAACTCCCTGGGACTTTGTTTTCTTGTCTGAGAAATAGGTATAACAATAATCCCTGCTTTACCTGTCTCACTGGGTTTTTGTAAAGATGAAATGAACTGATGTTTATAATAGTTATCATATATGGAGTGCTTGCAATATCCCAGACACTATCCTAGGAGCTATACAAACATTTTCTCATTTAATTCTCACAACTTTGAGACTGCTTGCTATCAACCTAGTTTTTCAGATAAAGAAACTGAAGCTAGACAGCCTTAGACACTTATGTACATTCACCTCAAAGCTGTGAAGTGTTAGATCTGAAACTCAAACGAAAGCTGTTCAATTTCAAAGCCCATACCCAAATTTCCATGCTTCTCTTTGCAAGAGCACTCGGTAATAAGTATCAACATTATGAATCTCACATTTGAAGCATTATCTAATTCATCTCTTATTTTCAGAAAGACAGAATAGACAAGTATGTAAAGGAGCCTCAATAATAGAACTGATACTGGCTTTATGGCACCATGAATTTTTGGCCACTATCACAGCTTCACTGGTGTTATGCCACTGTCGTTACTGAATTTTGAGTAGGGGCAGATCTAAGACAGAAGCCAAATTTCACTTGGTAATGAATAGTATATGAAAAGGTATTCATTTAGTCTAGTTTTAAAGATGTAAGACTTTGCCTACAAAGCCAGTTCACTTTCTAAAAGGACAAATGTCCCTAGATCCTTGCATTATTTTAGGATAGTGTTCACAGATTTCTTTAAATGCCTTTGCGCATTAAGTATTTGGCTGTAAGTAATTGGTGTACTTTCCAATATAACAGGTTTCTATCCATCTGGTTGAGTGACAACTCCATGAAAAAAAGGTATTCTGCCTGTTCACCTACTTTCCTCATCAGCAAACTGATCTTGGGGTCAACCCAGAGATTAGCAGTATCTGGAAAAACAAACGTAAAAGAAAGGAGTAAATGTAACAATGTGACAATGTAAAAGAAAGGAGAAAAATTATCCAAAGCATGTGAGAATACCATAGCATCCTTCTCCCATCCCCGCAATAAGACTCACTATAATAACTTCATCAGCGTCATCTAAAAGCAAGTATAAAAGGTGATCTATCTAAACTTCTGAGGTAGGCCTGTGCATTTTGATACTGTCCCTTCCATCCTCCTTCCAGAACCTCATAATCACCCTGATGCACAGGCAGAAGATCCCCAGTAAATCCCAAAGACACGGGAATCAGTTGCGAGGGCTTTTATGTGCATGTGACTGGGAAGAGAAAGGAGTGTGAGAGGCAAGTTCAGAAATTAAGACACACAGCTGTGGGAGATAAATGTCCAAAAGTAAAGTTCTGGACTTCAGAGCTTCTGTAGCAGCTCAGTTCAGAGATCATCTATCAAGAGCTTCCTATAAGCTAGGCTCTGTGCTGTGCCCTTGAGACCTCCCTGTCCATAAACAGCATATATCTAGTGAACTTGACCTGAGACCTTCTTAACTCTGGCAACTGACAAGTATGTTCATAGCTAACAGCCTAGGAACACTTTGTTAAATGTTCTTCCTTTCTGGTTGCAAAGCAGGTCTAATTTCAAAATCTCTTTACTGCAAGTGATACAACCTCTGATGGAAGACACAACCCCAGATTGCAAAAATTTACCCATTCTGACATCACAAAGTCAATTATTTAAGAATACATTTGTCAAACAAAGAGTTGTTTCCTGAAAAGCTAGTATTTTGTCTTTGAAAGAAATGGCATATCAAAATAATTTTAAATGTATTTTAAAAACTTCTCATCATACCTACTAGTATATGTAAGACTTCATTTGGAAGCGTTTAAAATACATTTTCATACTATATAACATAATAGTACAAAAATTATCACAGGAAGAGTGTTCCCAAACTTCCTTTCTCCTATTGTTTCTAATTCCCTCTCCCCTTCCTAAATTAGAAGGATTGCATCTCATAGAGACAGAGGTTAATTCTGAGCCACGATGAAGTGCTAGGAAAGAATGTGGGAGGCTAAGCAGTAAACAGAGTTCAGTTGGATCCAAGAGGACAGCCATTTGGAGTTTGAGGAATGTGGACAGGAGGAGAAAGAAGATTTTGTAGGTGCAGCTATAGACTATGTCATTTTTTTTTCCTCTTCGAAACCCTTCAAAAGGCTGGAATAATTCTTAATTATTTTGGCTATTAATTGGTAATTATTTTGGCTATTCAGCTATGCAACTGACCACTCTGAGGCTGGACCCCACATTCCTGGACATAAGGACCTCAGGAAAAAACAGAAATACTGCCAGGGCCTCCCAGTCACAGCCTCTGAGCCATGGTGGCCCCAGTGAAGGCATACTTCAGGAAACACCCTCCCTGCAACTCCACCCAAAGTGAAGAACCCTGGAGAATGATTTCATGCAGATATAACAGATGCCAAGAGTTCAGAGAAACGGAGAGAGAGGAAAAAAATTACTTAACCACAGGAAGAAAGACAGGAAGCCCAGGTGGGAGGAAAGGGCGATGGCAGACAGGGATAGGGTTGCAGAAAGAATGAATGCCCTTGAATGAAACTCCAGTGTGATAGAAGAGGTTTCCCCACACAGGGGAAGCAGTCCACAGCTCCTATGGATGATGGGTGCAATGAGAACCTGAATAAGCCATCTGTTCCAGAAGTATGTAGACTAAACTGAAGGGGAAGGGGCCAAGAAGGTACTGGCTTTGGGGCTGCACTGTTCTTTCTCCCCACCCTCCATCCCAAGGCACTGGCCTGCACCTGCAGGTTGCATCCTGGCATCTATAAAGTGCTGCCAGTTCACTGCATTCCACTCAATCAAGAGATTTGTTGGCAGTCCCTTTTGCCTTCCTCTGTCAGTAATCACCACAGACTTGTCAAAACCAAGGGGAATAGGTCACATCCTGTACAGACAATAGGGAAAATCAGATTCCTCTAAAAGGCCTGATTTAAAAGCAATTTTGAAAATGGTGGCAGAGAGAAAAACAATTTATTTACCTGTAGATCTGAGCAAAAACTTTAGAACATTTCTTCACACTGCCTGTCTGGCAAAATTGACAAAGGTCAAAAAGGTAAATTTTCTAAAAGTGCATAAGCGTACAATACATTTAAAGTACTTGTAGAATTTAAAGAGGATTGAGTGTGAGGGCGTATGTCTAACACTCCCCATCCCAGACATATGAAAATGCCCAGTGAAATATACAAACGTGGGGAAATCTATATTAGCTCACTCATCTGTTAAATATGTATTGAACTTTTACTATGTACCAATTCTAACTCTAGATACCAGGTAAACAGTTGAAAATAAGATAGACATAGCCCCTCCTTTTTTCTACATGAAGCCTTGAAAAGGTACCATTTACATGCCATGAAATGCCTTCCCCTTCTACTACATAAATTGCAAAAAAAAAAAGTCCATTTAAGAAAAATATAAATCCTTATTCAAAACTCTTCTCTGTGACAGATTTGATGCTAAGACATTCTAACTCCAGAATAAAGGTGGACACAAGAAAACCAGGCTGGCACTTAACCAATGAGCTTAATATTCTATTGGTGCATGGGGACTCAAAAGAACAGTTAAACAACTCGTAAAACAGAATCATCAATGTTAAAGTGATTTTTATTTATTCTGTAATATATATTTATTGAGTACCTGTTAGGGACAGATCATGTGTATACTGCTAAGGAGCATATGGAGAAGTGAAATGCATGATTCTGTTTTCTTATGGCGAACAGTCTACCCAGTGAGATAAGTCATCTTTATAAATAGAATCCTAACCGCACAGTACACACAGCAGCTGCTGCTAAGTACCCATTGGGCTGTAAATGCAATAAACAAAATATGTGTCTGGGGTGCGCTGCAGGAATTTCCAACATGACCTGTTAAAAATGGAACTAATTTTCTTTCCTTTAACCATGTTCCTCCACCTCTGTTTTCTATTTTAGTTAATGGGAACATCATTCACCCAAGCCAGCCCTTCCAAAAGCTCTCCTTTTCCCATATGTTCCACATTCAATTGGTCACCAATACTGGTAGCTTCTAAGGCAGAATTGTCTCTTAGATCGAGCCCTTCCTGTTCATTCATTCTGCCATTGCTGAAATGTATGCTTAAATACTTGCCATCATTCATCTGGACTATTGCAACAGACCAACATGATCCCTCATCTTCTCTCCCTATTCAAGATCATCCTCCATACTGCCACCAGGTAACATTCCCTCTAACCTATCAAGTCCAAACTCCTTGGCAAGATGTGGAAGGCCCTGTACAATCATCTGCAACTTAATGTTCAAGTTTCTGACGTTCATCTTGGATCTTCCACCATTACTCAAACTCACAAGGCACACTCATGTCTTGATGTCTTTGCATATTCAGACCCAGGGTCTGAGATGACCTTCTTCATGCTCCCCAGACACTGAACTCCTACTCATCCTTTGAAACTCTATGCAGGTAGAGTTAGTTGTTTCATGCTTTGTGCCACCACCCAACGTGCTTCATTTTTAATTGATTAGAGCATTCATCATGCTTAACCATAATGATCTGCTCACATATGGCTATCTTCTTCACCAAATAATGGGCTTTACAAAGGCTAGGACAGTGTCTTATTTATCTTTGTATTCCTAGTGTCTAGCACAGTGCCTGGAACATAGTGCATTCTCAGTGACTAATTGAGTTTCCAAGAATGAATGGATGGCTACATAGAAAAGGAAAAATATATATATCATGTAAGAGCAATCAGGAAAGACTTTATGGATGATATTGGATTTTAGCTTTATTTTTTAAAATGGGCTAAGAGTTCAACAGGAAGAAATGAGGCAGAGAGTGTCCATATGGGGACAGCTATGTGTGCAATAGCATAAAAGTTTAAGTACAGATGATGCTTTTTTTTTTTAAAGAAGATGGTCTGTTTGGCTGTAGCAAATGACCATGAATAACATCTGAAGTCCTCATCCAGTAGATAAGGTCCCAATTACTCAAGCATGACAACTTCTCTAACCCGCTGCCTTTCCAATCCCTGACTCCACTCTACCCACTCCACCTTCCTTCTGTCTTTCTGATACACCAAGCTTGTTTCTGCCTCAGGGCGTTTTTCCATTGCTGATCCCTTTGCTTGCAAGATCTCTGAAGGGCGGTTACTATTGAGTTAAAATATGATCTGTCAAAGGGGCCTTTCTCTATCTCCCTCTTTAATGCACCTTCAACCCACCCTCTTGATTAGAAAACCTGCTTTATTCCTTTGTACCAAACATTGCATTTTGATGTTTACTTACTTATTTACTTGATTTTTGTCTAAATGTCTCCCCACCCCCATCCCACCACTATATCTCCAATATCTAGGATACTGTCTGGCACAATAGTAGGCATTTATTAATAATAAGTATTATTTGAATGACAGAAGTGTTAGATGAGGCTGGCCATCAGGGTTGACAGGCAGTGAAGCGCTCTGAACTAAATTTTATAGGAGGGTTGGAGTATGTGTACTGCACGTATTTTACATGGAAGTAACATTACCAAAGATGTAAATTTATAAGATATCTTTAAGTAAATATATAAAATACTTTCAAGACAGGGAGATACTGGAAAAGGATTCTGAGAAACCCCCAAATATTCAACCTCCTTTATAAATCTTCATATTTTAATAAATTTGCTAAAAACATTTTTAAATAGCCAATTTGGCTACTTCCACCACCATCACTTGCATCAAGTCTTGCAGATTCTAGATTGAATCATTCATTATTTTTTAAAGTCAGTTTTGTTATATTCTTATAAAAGTACAGAACATTTAAGTCTTTTTCATATTTCTTATAATACTAGAAAAAATCAGAAAGACAACTATTAAATCTTAACTTGTATTTATGCCCCTGGACCAAAATAAGTGTAATTTTAAAATAAACCTAACTGGTTAAATTTAGTGCAACAAATGTTTATTTGTTTGGGTTCCCTCTTTTATACAATTGTGTCTAAAGTTTAGGTTTGGGGGTTAGGGAGATGTAAAAGTGTTCACACTCCAGACACAGACACTATGACTTCAGGACATATACTTATGGGAAAATATATGGCACATACAGCAACTAGATGGTGAATCTGAACAGTGGACTGAGTTAACTGAGGCCTCAATTCTCACTTTGGGGCATGATATGTAAAACGATGAGGATGAGGTTAAACTACTAACCTTTAATGTCCCTCCACCCCAGATTTCTAAGATTCTATCCTATGCAGATGCCTAGAATAATTAATTTGACTATGGAAACACTGTCTCCCACTATGATAAAAGAAATTTAAATACTTCTAGAAGTAGGCTTGGTACTCATGCTATCCTATCACTGTTTTGTTCTTTACAGAAGTAACTTTCGTCTTTATTAATAAAAGGATACTGGATAATTTCCAGTTCTACCATAGCAGTGTAATTTTCCTATAATCCATCCCTTTTCGCTGATTATGCCTACAAATTCTAGAAAAGCAACAACACTACCTAACGACTAGGGCAGGCAGACAAAACCTGGAGAAACACTCAGTATGGGGATTAGTTTCCCAGTTATATTTTCCTCTTGTACCTTTGCCCAGAGGTGGAACCCAGCCATAGAGCAGCCTTACAGTGTAGGTAGCTAAAACTCTGATTCTTTGCCATCCTTCTAGCTAGAGGCACAGGAAAAGGAGTCTCTGCAGCTAGAGGGTGGGAGAGAAATCCCAGAGGGTAAAGAGACAGAGAAGGAAACATTTAATTCTGTATAAGACCACACAGGTCTTAGCCTAACTGAAAATAATACACATATGTGAGACAGACCCAAAGCAGCATACCAAAGGCTGAGAGAACTGAACTGAGATTTGAACCACTGCCAACAGAAAGCAAGACAGAATTAATCAAGTTGATTGTCTACTGAAACCCAAACAAGTTAGTTGTTTAAAACCAAACATTCTTCAGAAGATTATAACAGAACCCAAAGTCTATATAACATAACATTTAGTGTCCAGCATACACATACAAAGAAGTAGAAATAAGTAAGCCAGTCTGAAGCAAAAAAAAAAAACAAAAAAAACAATCCTGAGATGCTTAGATGTTAAAATTATCAAACATATTGAAGCAGCTACTACAATTTTGCTACAAGAAGAACAGAAAATCTGAATGAAAAAAGGAAATCTCAGGAGACCAAACCAGATATTTTAAACTAAAAAAATACAATGCATGCAATTTTTTAAAAAAAGACTACTGGATGAACTTAATAGTAGATGAAAAAGGCAAGGAAATTGAAAATAGACCAATAGAAATTATCCAATCTGAAAAAGAGAAAGAAAACAAAATGAAAAAAGAATGAACAAACCTCAGAGACCTTTGAAACAATATAAATGACCTAATATATTTTTAATTAGAGGGAGGAGAAAGATATTGAAATAGAAAAAAATATATTTAAAGAAATAATAGCTAAGCACGTCTCAGATTATGTAAAAGACACAGACTTATAGATTCATTAAACTCAGTGAACACCAAACAGACTAATTAAAAGGTAACCATTCTTAAATACATCATAAGCTGCTGAAAACTAAACGTAAAGAAAAAAAAATCTTGACATGAACTAGAGAAAAATGATATGTTACATATAAAACATTCTAATAATCACAGAATTCTCATCAGAAACCATGTAGGTCAGAAGACAGTAAGACAACATCTTGAAAGCGCTGAAAGAAAAAAGCTGTTGAAACAAAATTCTACATCCCAAAAACTTATTCTGTAATAAAGGCAAAATAAAGACATTTTCTTCAAAACTCTAAGGAATCTTAAAAAATCTATTACAGTTAATAAATGAGTTCAGCAATATTACCTGATGTTGCAGGATACAACATCAATATACAAAAATTAATTTTATTTCTGTGTACTAGCAATGAATAATACAAAAAATAAAATGAAGAAAATGATTCAATTTCTAATAGCACCAAAAATACTATAATCCCAGTGATTTGGGAGGCTGAGGCAGGAGGATTGCTTAAGGCCAGGAGTTGAAGACCGGCCTGGGCAACAAAGCAAGACCTTGTATCTACAAAAAAATTAAAAATTAACCATGAATGGTTGCTCACAACTGTAGTCTTAGCTGCTCAGGAGGCTGAGGCAGAAGACACACTTGACTCCAGGAGGCAGAGGTTGCAGTGAGCCAAGATGGCACCACTGCACTCCAGCCTGGGCAACAGTTCAAGATCTTATCTCAAATAATAATAATAATAATAAAATATTTAGAAGTAAATTTAACAAAAGAAAAGACAGGTACACTGAAAACTACAAAGCAGATTAAAATAAATTAAAGAATACATAAATAAATGGAAAGACACCTCATGTTCTTTGATTGGAGATTTAACATTGTTAAGATATATATAGCACTCCTCAAATTGATCTACAGACTTGACACAATCCCTACCAAAATAAAGACAGTTTCAGATAAACTAAATTATTATTATTATTATCATTATTGCCAGGAGTCCTGCTTTACAGGAAATGCTAAACAAAGTTGTTTAGGCCAAAGAGAAATAATATGAGAAAAAAATCTATGACTGAATAATGAAGAAAAAAATCAGAAATGGGAAATATCTACAGTAATATAAAAGACTATGGGTTTTTCCACTTAAACTATTTAAAATGGTTTAAGTTACTTACTGCTTTAAGTAAAAATTATAGCATTTTTCAGTAGGCTTTTAATGTATGTAGATATAACTCATATGACAACCATAATATAAAAAGATAGCAGAAGGGCTTGTTAATGGGATCTATATGGCTGCAAGATAGCTACATTTTACCTGAAATAGTATTTTTTTTATTTTACTTTAAGTTCTGGGATACATGTGCAGAATGCGCAGGTTTGTTACATAGGTGTACATGTGCCATGGTAGTTTGCTGCACCCATCAACCCATCTTCTAGGTTTTAAGACCTGCATGCATTAGGTATTTGTCCTAATGGTCTCCCTCCTCTTGCCCCCCACCCCCCAACAGGCCCCAGTGTGTGATGTTCCCCTCCCTGTGTCCATGTGTTCTCATTGTTCAATTCCCGTTTATGAGTGAGAATATGCAGTGTTTGGTTTTCTTTTCCTGTGTTAGTTTGCTGAGAATGATGGTTTTCAGCTTCATCCATGTCCCTGCAAAGGACATGAACTCATTCTTTTTTATGGCTGCATAGTATTCCATGGTGTATACGTACCACATTTTCTTTATCCAGCCTATCACTGATGGGCATTTGGGTTGGTTTCAAGTCTTTGCTATTGTAAATAGTGCTGCAATAAACATACGTGTGCATGTGTCTTTATAGGAGAATGGTAAAATATTAACTCAAAGTAACCCCCCCAAAATTCAAATTGTTATAGCCAAAAGCCAATAAATAATTTAAAATCTAATACCAAAGCATATTTAAATAACCCCAAAAAAGGCAGGTAAGGGGGAACAAAAGAACAAAAAGCAGAGAAAATTAACACAGATAAAAAAATGATAAAAATGTAAACCCATATCCAAAAAATGCTAAACATTATGTTAATGATAGTGGTCTAAACTTCCCAATTAAAAGGCAGAGACTGTCAGAGCAGACACAAAGCTAGACTCAATTATATATTGTCTTAAAAAGATACACTTTAAATAAAAAGATTTAAATAAAAAGATACACTTTAAATATAATGACATAGAGATGTTGAAATAAAATGGATGGAAAAAGGTATAAGATACAAAACTTAATTTTACAAAGGCAAAGTTGCTATATTAATATCAGATAAAATATATTTCAAGACAACATGTATTACCAGACATAAAGAGAGATGTTTCATAATGATAAAAGGACAATTCATCAGAAAACAGAGTAGAGACATGTGTTTGATAATAGACCCTCAAATATATATGTTACAAAAATTAACAGAATTAACAAGAATCAGACCATTCCAAAATCACAGTTAGAGGTCATAACACCCCTCTTTCAGAAATTGATAGAACAGCCTGATTTTTAATAATCCAGCCCTGCCATGGTGGCTTACACCTGTAATCCCAGCATATTGGGAGGCCAAGGCAGGAGGATCACTTGAGGCCAGGAGTTCAAGACCAGCCTTGGCAACATAGTGAGACTTCATCCCTACCAAAAGAAGTTTAAAAATTAGCCTGGTATGGTGGCATGCACCTGTAGTCCCAGCTACTTGGGAGGCTGAGGTGAGAGGATTGCTTGAGCCCAGGAGGTGGAGGCTGCAGTGAGCCATGATCATGCCACTGCACTCCAGCCTAGGTGGCAGAGTGAGACCTTGTCTTAAAAAAAAGAAATCAGTGAAAACATAAAAGTTCTGAAGAACACTATCAACCAACTTGATCTAATTGACATTTATAGAATACTACATCTTACGACTGCAGAATATTCCCTTTTTTCAATTGTATTTACCAAGAGAGATCATAGACTTGGATTTAAAACAAGTCTTAAGAAATTTAAAAGGATCAAAATCTACAAAATTTGTTCTCTAACAACTGAATTTAATTAGAAATCAATAGTATTGAGATATCAGGAATTCCTCAAATATCTGAAAATTAAACCACATTTCTAAGTAATGTATGGACTAAAATCACAAGAGAAATCATGAAATACATTTACCTAAGTGACAACAAAACTATAACATATCAAAATTTGTGGGATACACCTAAAGCGGTGTTTTCAGGGAAATTTATGTACATGTATTAGGTAAGAAAAAAACCCCAATAACCTGAAGTTCTACCTCAAGAAGCTATACACATAAAAACAATGTAAACTTAAAATAAATAGAAGTTAGGAAACAGCAAAAGTAACAGCAGAAATAAATGGGATAAATGATAGAAAAATAATTTTAAAAAATTAACAAAGCCTTGTCTGGGTGCGGTGGCTCACGCCTGTAATTCCAGCACTTTGGGAGGCCGAGGCGGGCGGATCATGAGGTCAGGAGATCAAGACCATCCTGGCTAACATGGTGAAACACTGTCTCTACTAAAAAATACAAAAAAATTAGCCGGGCGTGGTTGGGGGGGCGCCTGTAGTCCCAGCTATGTGGGGGCTGAGGCAGGAGAATGGCATGAACCTGGGAGGTGGAGCTTGCAGTGAGCCGAGATCACATCACTGCACTCCAGCCTGGGTGACAGAGCGAGACTCCGTCTCAAAAAAAAAAAAAAAAAAAAAAAAATTAACAAAGCCAAATGTTGGGGGTTTTTTTGGTTTTGTTTTGTTTTGTTGTTGTTGTTTTTTTTTTGTGAGACGGAGTTTCACTCTTGTTGCCTAAACTGGAGTGCACTGGCACGATCTCAGCTCACTGCAACCTCTGCCTCCCAGGTTCAAGCAATTCTTCTGCCTCAGCCTCCCGAGTAGCTGGGATTACGGGCATGTGCCACCATGCCCAGCT
The DNA here is from genome assembly GCF_000001405.40 of Homo sapiens. Lineage (NCBI taxonomy): Eukaryota > Metazoa > Chordata > Mammalia > Primates > Hominidae > Homo > Homo sapiens. Next base: position 118,035,466 of record NC_000006.12, on the reverse strand, counting down.
AATTTTTTGGGTTTTTTTTTTTAGTAGAAATGGGGTTTCATCATGTTAAGCAGGCTGGTGTTGAACTCCTGACCTCAGGTGATCTGCTCACCTTGGCATCTCAAAGTGCTGGAATTACAGGCATGAGCCACTGCACCTGGCCCAAATGTTGGTCCTTTGAAAAGTTGAACAAAATGCATAAACCCCCGAGTACATTGATTAAGGAAAAGGAGAACTGGTAGAAAGCACCAATATCAAGAAAGGTGTATCCACACAGATTTTACAGACATTAAAAGATAAGAGAATACTAAGAACAATTTTATGCCAATTAATTTGATAACTGAGATGCAACAGACAAAAATATTGAAAAATAAAACTCAGCAAAATTGACACAAGAAGAAACAGAAACTAAAGAGCCCTGTATCTATTAAAGAAATCAAATTCTTTATCAAAATTGTCCTCAAAAGGGAATTCCAAGCCCAGGTGGTTTTGCCAGTAAATTCTAACAAAGATTCAAGGAAGAAAACCAGTCTAACACAAATATTTACAGAAAACAAGAGTAAGAAACACTACTCAACTAGTTTTACAAGGCCAGTATAACCCAACATCAAAACTTGAGTAAGAACATTATAAATTATACCTTAATAAAGTTGTAGGAAAAAAGAGGAAGCAGAGCCCTATTACTATGAATCCCTGAAATAAAGAGTCTGGGAGGATTATATAAATGATGTTAGTTAAAGAAAGATCTCAAGGAACTTGTTATAATACAGTCACAGGTGAAACAAAGCATAACATGAACTCCAAGGGTAATTTTCTAATGATTTTGTTCTATAGCAGAGAAACTACAGACCACAGGCCCACTCCAGTTCAGGCCTGATTTAGTATTTTCATTTTATTGATTGATTATTTATTTATTTATTTATTTATTTTGTGATAGAGTCTCACTCTGTCACCCAGGCTGGAGTGCAGTGTCGCAATCTCTCCTCACTGCAACCTCCATCTCCCAGGTTCAAGCGATTCTTCTTCCTCAGCCTCCTGAATAGCTGGGATTACAGGCATGTGCCACAATGCCTGGCTACTTTTTGTATTTTCAGTAGAGACGGGATTTTACCATATTGGCCAGGCTGGTCTCGAACTCCTGACCTCAAGTGATCTGCCTGCCTCAGCCTCCCAAAGTGCTGGGATTACAGGTTTGAGCCACCATACCCAGCCAGGCCTGTTTTTGTGTTGCCTGAACATATTTTTGTATGCTAAGAACAGGTTTTATATTTTTAAGATGTTTTAAAAAAAAGTAACAGTGACCATATGTGGCCCACAAAGCCTAAAATATTTACACTCTGTCTTTACACAAAAAAAATTGCTATCCTTGCTAGGATAACAAGTTTATGGCAAAAAGTACTAAAAAGTCATTTTACTATTCTACTATCTGAAGTGGGTTCACAAAATATTCTGACAGTAGTACATCTGCAGCCATTCTGACCTCTTCCCTCCATTTAGCTGCTGCCTCCTGTTAACTAATTGATTGATTCAATAAATACGTAAGAGAGTCCTATTATATTTCAGTCACTGTACCACTAAATCTGAAATATAACGATGAACAAGGTGGCCAGCACAGATCTCAATGAGCCTACAGGTTCACAGAAGAGATCTAAATGCTTATTCACTGAGTAAATCAATCACTCCAGCATAGTTTTATCTTGACCATGTGGGTAACACTGATTATGTAAGCCTAGCACGTCTTCCCCCTCTTCTTGCTGCTGTGGCTGAATATGCACTCCATACCAAGTGCCATGCTTCTCTGGACCTGAGGTTTCTCATCATTACAATATAGAGAAATAACACACTTCAGGATAAAAGATGAAAAAAAAAAAAAACTAGTGTGAATGTATACAAATGCAAACATATATTATTGTGGCCCTGTTGTTTCCTCAATGGGATGTTTTAAAATTGTCAATCCTCTCAAATTTAAGTTTCTTCTTGAATCTCATCATATGTAAAATAAAAACTAACATAGTTGAATAGTAAGGAAAGATAATGCCTCAGAGGTTTTATTAATGCACCCAAAAATAACTCCTTATTTTAAAGTTAATGTAAAAATCTCCAAATCCAAGGAATATGCATCTTAATGTTTTAAAAAGCATTAGCTAACATTTACTGAGCCACTGATAATAATTTGAGTTCTAAATCCAGAGCATGTAAGAAAGATTATAAAAAGGAGTCAAGGGCAGTATTAATATTGGAAGAAAATAAAATGCCATTCAATAAAATGCCATTCAATAAAATGCAAATGAGCATATTTTCCTGGAAAAATGCTTGGAATCATTTATTTATTTATTTCATGAAATAGAAAAACTTGGTGGAGGGAAGCCCTACCAGAGGGAACATATATGTGAGAAGGCTGAATAAAATAATTATGTTGATAAGGCAATATGGTGGCCAAAATAATCATAATAACTTAGACTTGAAGAAAAGATGTCATCAAAAGAAAAAAGATGCAAGATTAATGGCACATCACCTGCACGCTTCAGTTCCCAAGAGAAATGCACAAATTTGCAAAAGGTGAGAAAAGACAAAGAAGAATGATTATAAAACTCAAGAACTTAGTTGAAGGAAAGGATTTTAAACTACCTAAAATATAGATAGAAAAAAAATCCAGGTTAATAAACTGAGTTGGCTCATGAAAGGTATTAAATAAGTAAAGACCTTAAATGCCAATAGCTTTTCTAGGTTACAGGAGAGCATGATGACAAATTACAGGCTAAGGAAAAGAAATAGACTGTATAATATCAAATAGCTTTTAAAAACACCAACTATAACATTTCTAAGAATCATTTTTATCACACTGGAATTACCTGTAACAGTTAAATCAAGTTGGAAGAGAAACAGCATATTGTGTATAATCTATTTAAGGCTACATTACTATTATTTTTTCTACTCCAAAGAGGAGGAGACAAAAGAAAGATGGAAGGCAGAAAAAAGGGCAGAGGAGATGTTTTCTCTCAAGGCATCTCTATGCATTCCACTTCCTTGAAGGCAGAGACTGTGAGTTATTCAACCTCATGTGTCTAGCCCCAAGTGCAGTGACTGACATAAATGATTAATCGAAGTTTTCTAAATGAATACACTAACTAAATTAATAAAAATTGACAAATCTCTGCTTTGCTTTGTGTCCTTATATCTGTAAACGGACCCTGTTCTCGTGCCTTCCATGTCCACCCTCATTTTTTCTGCTTTAAAAAAATCTGTGATTACAGAAATCAGACTATAAAATATAAATAAAAAGTATTTTCTCAGATGAATTCAAAAGATGAATAACCAAAGAAAGAAAATGTATCTGGAGAAAATATGTCTGGGTTTATTGAGCTAATTTAAGCATCATTGTTAATATACTGTGAAATATTTTATACACATACACACACATCCTCCTAAATAGCTATCTGCATAAGAACTTCATGCTTTGTTTATATTTACACTAGTGAGGGAGGAGGCAGGACTCAACTCCAGAGGCGGGATTGAATACCAAACCAAATTGAGGACTAGGGAAAACAGGGACAGGGCAGAAGCAGCTTCCCATTAGACATGGCCACCAGTGTGCCATGTCAGTTTACCATTGCCACGGCAACACCTGGGAGTTACCACCCCTTTCCATAGCAATGACCCGATGACCCAAAAGCTACCACTCTTTTCCTAGAGATTTCTGCATAAACTGCCCCTTACTCTAATGGAATTAAAAATAGGTATAAATATGACTGCAAAGCTGCCCTGTGCTGCTACTCGCAGCACACTCCCTATGGGGTTGCCCTACTCTGCAGGAGCAGTCATGGAGCAGTAACACTGTCGCTTCAATAAAGCCGTTTTCTTCTACCCTAACTCCAGCTCACCCTTGAATTATTTCTTGGGTGAAGCTAAGAACCCTCACAGGCTAAGCCCCACTTTGGGGCTCCCCTGTCCTGCATCACTAGGATTTTAGAGTACTCGCTCTTCATGTACCCCTTAGAACTAGCCTCAGACTCACCAGCTGCCACAAAAATCCTTCACTGCAGTAGAACTTCCAGCAGGTCCATGTGAACAAATGAGAATCTGGAATCTCCTTCAACTCAGAGCTGTGTGAATCCTTTGCTAAAATTACTCATCTCCAAATTAGCTAAAATCACAGTAGACCTCATACCTGCCCTTGAAAGTAGTATTTCATGCAGAAATAACTTATCGTTTAAGACATACATTTACTTAAAAATTACTAATAAGTTCAGATGTAAGGGATAAAGAAACCAGGCTTTAAAAAAAATACTAAGAGTGAACAGGTCCATTCCAAATCACATCTGCCTCAAAAAGATACTGATTTTTCACTTCTCATTTCATCTGATTAAAAAATAAATTTCACATTGATTTTAACAAATGTATCATTCTAGTGTGAGATGTTGATAGTGAGGGAGGCTGTGCCTGTGTGGGGAGAGGGGTATGTAGGAACTATGTATTTTCCACTCAGGCTTGCTGTGAACCTAAAACTGCTCAAAAACTACAGTTTATTCATTAAAAAAATAAATTCCAAAGATTTGAATGTTTTACATATTATTATGAAAAAAATTAAGACCTACTTAGAGGACATTTATTTCTCAAGAGTGAGATAGGAATATAAAATGACCCTCTGCTGTTAAAGATAATAGACTATTTCTTAAAATTACATATATGAAGAAAGCTTCAAAGAGAGAACAGCTATAAATCACCAAGGATCTTTAATTTTATAAATTACATTTGAGAGAATCCCTAGCAGAAAGATCTCCAACAAATCCATGTTTGATTATTTGGTGTGAAACCCATAAACATAGGGGGATGATTGTGTTTTCCATCTCCTCTCTCCCATCTCCCCACCCCCAAAGATCTTTACACTCTTCCTTTATTGCCCCCAGACTCCTGGATGAAACTCAACAACTTTCTCCTTTTTAAGAGATCCTAAGCCAATCTGTAGTATGCTCTACTTATCTTCTTGTTTCTCCAAAGCCACACAGAATCAAGCTTTGCTCTTCCAGAATGGGTCAGATGAGAAACTACTCTGACCACAGTTCCTCCTGTGTCTATGAGTGATTGGCCAAAGTAGTGGGAAGGAGCAACAACAGATGATAATGTGCTGTCACTGATGGGAGACACAAAAGCAGAAACCGACTCTATACAATCTCAAGTCAATGCCCCAGTGCTAGGAGCTACACTCTGTTCAAGTGCTGCCAGAAACAAACTCAGACACAAACCTCTGACCACATCTCCTCCCACTCCCAGTTCAGCCTTACTATCCTTCTTGCCTTGCATACACACTAGGCTGCTCTAACCAGCAACTTTGCACATGGAATGTGATTCCCCCAGAGGGAAGCATTGTTTGCTTCCTCGCCTCCTTCAAGTCTTTAATATGTCATCTCTCGCTGATCAGCCTTACAATTGACCACTTCGACACCTTGTATCTCCTTTCCCTACTTTACTTTTATCCACAATACTTATCATGGCACAATTAATGCACAGGATAAAGTTTACTGACATTACTTCTCTCTTCCCTTGTTGGAATGTCCTCTCCAAGAAGACATTCTGTAAGTAAAAGAAAGGAAAGGGATGCAAAGCCTAGTAAGTAGGAAACTGTGGCATACTATAGTTCCCCTCTTTAGGGCTTAGTAATTCACATTAGCGTAGTGAAGGGTGGAAAGTATTGGAAAAAAAAATTCATACTTTTTTAGTAAAGAAATGTTTTTAACTTCATTCAACTTTTGTAAACAGTATAAAATTTTGTAGCATTACTAATAACTGTCAGAGAACACAAGTTGGGGAACACTGCTAAGAGATAGTGTCCATGTTTCCCTTCTCTTGTACAGTAATCCCCCCTTATCCTTGAGAAATATGTTCCAAGACCCCCAGTGGATGCCTGAAACCACAGATAGTAACAAACCAAATATACTCAATATATACTATGATTTTTCCTGTATATACAACATACCTGACACAAACATGATAAAGTTTAATTTATAAATCAGGCACAGTAAGAGATTAACAACAATAACTTATAATAAAATAGAACAATTCTAGCAATACATGGTAATAAAAGTTATGTGAACATGGTCTCTCTGTCTCTCTCTCTCTCTCAAAATATCTTATTGTACTGTACTCACCTATTTTACAACCATGGTAGACTGTGGGTAACTGAAACCTCAGAAAGTGAAACCTCAGATAAGGAGGGCTACTGTATTTTTCCTTTCTTCCCCACTGTTCTTCAAGATCACCAATGACTTTTTCTAAGGAAATATAGTTGCTTTTTCTGTATGTTTATTCTGCTTGATCTCCATGCTCTACATCTAGAGGATAATGAGGTCCTTCCTGAAGCTTCTTCATCTGTTTACATGCTACCTCTTCTGTGTCCTCAACTAGTTCTCTGGACACTCTTTCTCTGTATCCTTCAGTTGTTTCTTATCTGGCCTTTAATTTGAAATGTTTAACTGCATGTGCCTTCATAAGATAAATCTTTGTATTACTTTTCTTCTTTCACTTTTCTTGTTCTTGGAGAGACTATTCTTATTTGCAGCTTTCATTTCTATAATGATCCTCATGACTCTAACCCAAACCCAGGATTATATTTCCAAAGAGCAACTTGGATAGGGTCAATTGCTATCTTTTGCAAAAGCACATAGTTTAAAAACCACTATCTTTATCATCTTCAAGTGGATTTTCATCCCAAACTCCCCTATTTCCCTGGGACGTACTATTTTCCCTGTCTACAAGGCTCTAAATGTTGGAATTATCTTTAATGCCTGATTTTCTTTCCCTATGCCCTTCCCAATTCTCATCATTTAGTGTTATTTCATCAGGTACACATTCTCTTGAATGGTTACTTTGTTCTGTGGATCCTCCCCCATCCTTCAGCCTTCTTTTCTTCCACCTGTGAACTCTAAAACTCAACACTATCCACCCATTTCCTCAATATGGTCGCTCTAAACCAGTCATTCATCCTTCCTAATTTGCCCTGTATATTCAAGCTACACCTTTCAAAGTATATGATTCACTCCCTCACTTACCTGTTTACTATCTTTACCATCTCTATTTCCTCCAGTTTTCCACATAGCCCTATTATCCCTCCCTACTCATTTTCATTGATCTTACTAGATCCTCTCCAGAGCCTCCCAGTCTTTTGAAAAAGGCTGCAGATAAAAACTGGAAACAATATTCACTGATGTTCATTATAGTGTGGAAGAAGAACACAGGAGAAAGCGGAAACAGAGAAACTTACCTCTTAAGGAGTCTCTCAATCCATCTATTACAGTTAACTCTCCCCTAGATGCATTAACAGAATAAAACAGGACAATGTATATAAGACAATAAAAAATTCAGGTATCTATTTTGGATTTTGCATTTGAAGATAAAGTCTTGGAATTCCAAAAGCATTTTTAAAATAAACCCATAACTTTGCTCCATATTAAACAAAATTAACTTAAAAATGAACCCCAGGCCTAAATGCAACTCCTAAGCCTAAAGGTATAAAGCTTCTAGAAGAAAAAGGAGAAAATATTTGTAATCCCCTTGGGTTAGGGAAAGAACTCTTAGATAGGATACAAAAAGTGTGAACTGTCTACTGCCATACCACCCTGAACATGCCCGATCTTGTCTCTCAAAAAGTGTGAACCATAAAAGAAACAATACAAATTGGACTTCATCAAACCAAAATCTTTTGCTCTTTGAAATACACCATAAATAAAATAAAAAGACAGCCTCAGATGGGGAAGAAAAAATTGTAAACAGTATCTGACAAGGTGCTTGTATCTAGAATATATGAAGAGCTCTTACAATCCAATCAATAAGAAGATAAACCATCCAAACTTTTTTTAAAAGCTTGGCAGGGCGAGGTGAGGGGAGATTTGACAGTTACTTTGCCAGAGATAAAGATGGTCAATAAGGACATGAAAAAAATGTTTACTATCATTAAGTCATTAAGAAAATGCAAGTAAAACTACAGTGAGATACCATTACAAGCCTATTAGAAGGGCTAAAATTAAAAAGACTGACCATACCTAGTATTGGTGAGAATGTGGTGGAACTAAACTCTCATACACTGCTGGTGAGAATACAAAAGGGTACAGCCACTGTGGAAACAGTTTGGCAGTTTCTTACAGAGTTATACAAACATTTGCTATATGACACAGCAATCACACTCCTAGGTATTTACCAGAGAGAAAAGAAAACATATGTCCATGCAAAGGCCTGCACATGAATGTTTATAGCAGCTTTTACACAACTGCCAAAAGCTGGGAACATTCCAAATGTCCATCACCTGGAGAAAAGATAAGCAAATAAAATGGAATATTTCAGTGATAAAAATAAATAAATTACTAATACATGCATCAACAAGGATGAACCTCAAAGCATTAGGCTAAGTAAAAGAACCCAGACACAAATGGCTACATAGTTTATCATCCATTTATGACATTCTGGAAAAGACAAAGACAGAACCCAAATCACTGGTCATCTGGGCTGGCAGTAGGAGAAGGCAATGACAACAAAAGGGACCAGAAAACTTTTTGGAGAGACAAATGTACTATCTGTCTTAACTGTGATGGTGATTACAGAATTAAGTGCATTTGCCAAGACTCACTGAACTTTACACCTAAAAGGGGTAAATTTTACTGTACATAAATTATATCTCAATAAACATAACTTTAAAAAAACCAAGGCTTCTTTTTAAAAACCAGAAAAAAGGAATAAAAATCTTTTAGTTTTTTCATCCCAAACTCATTAACTTTTGTTCTCAACCGTCTTCATGCTGAAAATAACTTCTCAATACCAGCTTAATGACACTTTAAAATCCTTTGAATAATAAAAACAAGTTTAAGATTGAATGTAAAAGTCTCCTTTGCAAACAAAACAGAAGTAAAAATTTAAACTGCAAAATTTCAACAACGCTGGGATTCCCAAAGAGAGTATTAACAAAATAAGGCATTAAGCAGAGAACCAAGAGTGATGTCAATATTCTTATTAACACATCCTAAAGTCAGAATAGTCTTTTTTCCATTTAAAAACAAAACAATAGTTAAACACCATCTGTAAAAGTACAGCCAGTCACTTAAACTAAATGTATTATCTGTAAATTCACACAAAAAGAAAACAGTAATTCCAGTCAAACTGAACCACCTGACTTCTCCCATAGTGGCCTTTCTTCTCCCACCTCCAAGTCCTCCTCACTGTGTTCTGCGCACATGCCATCCTCCCCCATCTCATCACATCTGAATCTTTGCTGTCCTTTCAGGTTTAGCTCATACGCCAAATATTCAGTATCCTTTCAAACATCCTCCCTTTATTTCCACAGCCTTTATCTACATCTCTCTTATGACTCCTAACTTCTGTACTGCCTAACTTCATTACTATAAGTAATGCCTTAATTAACCTACTAGCTTGGAGGCTGACAAAGGCTGGAGACGGTGTGAATCATCCTCGAATCTCCCACAGCACCTAGCAGAGTGCCTTGAAGTAATAGGTACCCAAAAGCATGTGTTGAATGAATATTAAATTTGCTCTTTATTTGGTGCAACCACAGTTACCTGGTGCAATCACAGAATATTGACCCATTTGAAAGTGTTACTGACCTCTATTTTATTTCAAGGTAATAGATTTATGTTAAATATAAGATATATTCTGGTGTCTCTTAGAAGTGATTCATATGTGTTTGAAAACTATCAACTAAAATATACATAAATGCAATTGAAAGAGTTCTCAAAGGCCAAATCTAAAACACTTTGAGCAACAAACTAAAATGGTGTGGGATTATAATCAAAAATAAAATATATGTATATAACCATGAATCTATCCTCACAAAATATATCATAAATAAATAAATGTGGGAGAATAGACAAATCTCTCACACTAGAGAAATTCCAAGTAATTTACACAGATAATCATCCCTCAAGGAGATGGAACATCACTCCCCACTCAATTGTGGACTGTACATGGTGACTTCCTTCCAAAGAGCACAGCATGGAAACCACAGGGGAATAACTTTCTGGTAAAATCTGACAAATACTATATCTCAGCCAGGTGATCAAGGTTAGTATCAACGACGATGAGTTATATTGATAGCATGTACCCTTGGTATAATGTGACAAAAAGGGTACTTTTCCTCCCCAAAACACATAAACTCAGTCTAATCCTGAGAAACACATCAGAAAAATCTCATCAAGAGACCTTCTACAAAATATCTAACTTGTGCTCCTCAAAACTGGCAAGATCATCAAAAACAAGTAAAGTCTTAGAAAAAGTCACAGCCAAGAGGGGCCTAAGGAGATATACAACTACATTTAATGTGCTAACCTAATACAGGACTCTGAAACAGAAAAAGGGAGTTAGAAAAAATTAAGCAAATCTGAATAAAGTGTGGGGTTTAGTTAATAATAGTGTATCATTATTGGTTCAATTAATTGTACTCATGTAGGATGTTAACAATAGGGGAACCTAGGTGGGGAGTATATGAGAACTCTGTACTATCTTTGTAATTTTTCTATAAAGCCAAATCTATCTAAAATAAAAGTCTTATTTAAAAAATACAGAAATTTCAAATGTTAAAAAGTTATCATGAAGCATAAAACTTTACTTGGCCATATTGATTTCAGTTATATGAGATTCTCCCTATAGATAAAGACATCCCTAGGCATATTTTTGTCCAGGGTAAGAGTTGCAGATGAAGTTTCTAATACAAGTAAAATTCATACTTTTAATATTTGTTCTAAGATTGTTGCTTTCAAATGTTATCATTTTAAATAATTGCCTTAATATTTCATGTGATTTCCTTTATTTTGGGTTCACAAAAAGGAAATGCAATTTTATGCTGAAAACTATTGAAAACTATATAAATTTATTTACAGAAATTCACTCTGTGGTCAGCTTTACCTAAAATAAAATATGACTGAAGACCTGAAACAATGGCTGATTTTTCTTAAATTCTTCTCTCTTCCAAGTGAAGGGACATTATATTTCACTATTAGAAAGAAAAAGGGTTTTATGTTCTTAATTTTCACAACCATCCTTCCAAAAGAAGTTGCAAAGAAATTGGACACTGCTAAGATCTTAAGTCATTCTCCATTGCTAAAATTATATGCTTTTCTTTTCATCTTAATGAGCTTCTCTTCTTTACATAAATTAGCACTATGTTGGAGAAAATGTAGTAGGAAGAACTGGGAAAGGATTTTTTTGTTTGTTTAGTTAGTTGTTTCTTATGACGGGAAGTTAACAGAGTATGTTGGGATGCCGTAGGAGTGGTTTCCTAGAGGCTCACAACTCCTCCCTGTCTAGCTAACTGATTTGGAACAAATCACAAATCTGGGCCTCAGATTTCTCACTTATAAAATGAAAAGATTATAATGCATAATCACTTATCTCTAAATTAATTCCAGCTATAAAGTCCGAGTATAGTAACTACAGTGAGCCTAATTCCCTAGTAATCCCACAGCCTCTCAAGAAGACTCTTCAAAATTAATGGAAATGGGGATGGGAGTTAATGTCTCTGCAACAGAAATTGTGCTTCAGTAGATATGACTCACTGGGGCCCAGCAGACCTAACTCAACATTGATTTCAAAATTGGTTTCTTATTCCCTTGATTCCGGGAATAGTCTTCAATAAGCTAGAGAGCAGTTTCCTTTTTTACAGCACAAAGAAGTCGGCATTCAGACAGACTCAAAGACAATGGAGCTGAAGGCTCCAGGTTTATAAGAAAACAGAAGATTTTAGGAATACTGTGCTTAAGATGATAACCTTAATATTAATATGGCTTGGGAACTCACCCAACTGTCACGGAGCAGACACTGTGATATAGGACTTGAGGCCAGAGACATCAGTTTTTCCATTTAAATAGGCACAGATGAATAGTGAGGGCCAGTCCTTAAATATATCATGCCACCAAATCCCTTCCATGCCCACCATTTCCCTAGCATATATCATCATCTTTATTACCTTAGTTATTTATATATTTGAGAAAAGAAGAGGGGAAAGGAAAAAGATGTTCAAAGAGAAGTATCCAAATTTTCTCTCAGTGATTATATTCTGCCAATCCCCATAAGGATTCCCTATTGCCAAACCAGCTTCACAGGCCTGGGTCCTATGGAGCCACACAGGGCCACACTCTCAGAGGGGTCTCAGCTTGGCTTAATGCTTTGTTGTCACCATCTTGAACTCTACACAATATTTTAACAAGGGGGTCAGCATTTTCGTTTTGCATTTGTGTCCAGCAAATTATGCAGCTGGTCTCCTTCACTGACTTTTAAGATACCTTACTTTGATCTTCAGAAATCTCCACCTAAACTTCTTATCCTTACCTTGAGCAAAGAAATTTTACCAAGCCCACATATTAAATGACAGGATCTATTCGCTGCATTCTCTATTCCTGTATAAGGGTGGCTGAGCATTATGAAAAAATTGCCCGGCCGGGCATGGTGGCTCACGCCTGTAATCGCAGCACTTTGGGAGGCTGAGGTGGGCGGATCATGAGATCAGGAGATCGAGACCATCATGGCTAACACGGTGAAACCCCGTCTCTACTAAAAATACAAGAAAAAAAAGAATTAGCCCGGCGTAGTGGTACACGCCTGTAGTCCCAGCTACTCAGGAGGCTGAGGCAGGAGAATGGCGCGAACCCAGGAGGCGGAGCTTGCAGTGAGCCGAGATCGCACCACTGCACTCCAGCCTGGGCGACAGAGTCAGACTCTCTCAAAAAAAAAAAAAAAAAAAAAAATTGTCCAAGCTTGTAGCCTTGAGTCACTTGCATTCATGATTTCTATTCCCTGACAAGTGCTCAGCACTGTCCATAATTCCAGTTTCCCAGTGTCCTGTAGTCTCCATTCCCAGTGACAGCTATTTCAGCAGTTTCCTTAAACCCCATCAACTTCCTTTTCTCCTCAGGTGAGAGCTCTGCCTCAGGTGAGAGCTCTGCCTCTCTGCAGGCCTCTCAGACTCAATATTCCAGCAGCCCTCAACTTGCCATCCAAGCCTGGTCCTTCTTCAGTCTTCCTTGTGTTGGTCAATGTCATCACTTTGCTCCCCACTTGTCCAAACCAGACACTTGGTCTTCCTTCTTGACCCTTCCCTACATCAAATCCATTTCCGAGTTTTACCATCTTAATATTGATTTTGAGTCTGTTCACATGTGTTCATCACTTTGCAATTGTGGTCACTAATACACCAATAATTACTCTTGGTTTGCTACCAAAACTTCCGGATTAGTCCTCAGGTTTCCAGTCTAAATTTTCTTCCCGATCACCAATTTCATTTTGATGCTGTAGTCAGAAAGACTTTGTAACAAAACTCTGATCATGTTCTGTGATATACTGCAAACTTTTTTTAGTTGCCACAGATTCTTTCCACTCCTGTATGTATGCCCATTTGCAATGTGGTTTTGGCAATCCTCTCTTCAAGAAGTAGACTCTGTTTCTTTTCCCCCTGGAATGTGGGTAGCCTTTTGATTTGCTCTGACCAACAAAATGTGGCAGAAGTTTGACACTGCAAGAATTCTGAACTCAGGTTCCAGAGATCTGGCAAATTCCCCACTCTCCGCACCACCTCACTCCCCTAAAGACAGAGGCCCCAGTGACAACCAGCACCAAATTCCACACATGGAAGAGAGACCATCTTAGATTATCTAGCCATAGCGGAGCCACCAAACAACTGCAGCCAGACGAGTGGCCCCCTGTGAGACCAGTGGAAGAATTGCTCAGCTAATTCCAGCCAAATTGCTGACCCACAAAATCATGCGCCAATAAAATTGTTGTTGTCTTAAGCCATTATGTCTTGGGATGGTTTGTTATGGGACAACAGAATTGTGTGTGCAGAATTCCATGGGCATAAATGGAGGCATGATCTCTGTGTTGTTATCACAGACACTAACCATCCTTAGCAAGTACAGAATAATTACACATATTGAATAGATGAGAACAACACAAGCCCTGAGTTCTGCTGCTATGTAGCTGTTCACTGTGACAATGCTCTTCCAGGTCTGCCAAGAACAAGCCTGTGCTACTGACAGTCACCCTTTCCCAATACAGAAGGCCATAGGGACATGCATGTTACTAAAGTCACTTAGGATGCTCTGTATTGGTGTCTGAAGAAATTCCTCTATGCCTAACCAAAGCACTAGATGAAAGGCTTTACTTGATCCCTAATTGTCAAAATGGTTTTCCCATTTCAGTACCAGTCTACAGCATCATGGATTAGGACACTATGAGTTATCTTTGACCCTTTACTCTACTCAATCTCTAAAATCCAATTACTGCTTGTTGCAAGATGTCTCTGATCTGCCCTTTTATCTCAATCCCCAGAGCCTTCCCCTCCCCTGAGGCGAGGTCCCCAACTGAGTTACAGCAGCAGTCCCATGGCTAGTCTCCAGGCTCTATTCTTGTGCCTTTCAAACATTTAAGTATAGAATTCAGACTAATCTTCTAAACAAACTTCCTTTAATTATGTCCCCATGTAAAAGCCTGTGATAATTCCTTATTTCCCACTTTACTGAGCCAATACATTCTATTATATTTTCAAGGACCCCTATAATTCTCCCCTACTAAGTCTACCAAAACTTATTTCCCAGTATTCCTTCACCACACCAGTCAATTTTCTCAGATAACTACAAAGTGCTCAGTCATATTCACCCTGCTCCTATAGTCAAAAACATTCCATCTATATTTTACTCTCTCTAATCCATCCTTGGGGAACCTACTCAAGCCCAACTCTTCAACTCCCTGAACCTTAAATCAGAGACATGATGCTAATCCTTGCTCTGCTCCAAGGAGTTATTTGAAGCCAGATGAATGACTTCAGTTTCTGCATCTGTACTATAAGGGGATTGAATCTTCCAGCTGTCACATTTGAGAAATCAATAATTCTTCCAAGTCTCTCATCCAGATCAAGCCCTTTCCATCCTGGTCAAGCATTTGTGTTCTAAATGTTTCATTTGTGATCATTTGCCTTCACTTTCCAATCAAACACTTTTTGAGTGTGGGCACCATGTCATATCCCATTCAGATAATCTATAACACTTTGCATACAATTATCAGTCAGAAGACTCCAACTTTCAAACTGGTTGGTTATAAGCTGATACCACACTGACTGTGCAGCCTCGACAGTGTGATCGGTGTTCAGCTTTACTTCTGTATAATAAGTACAGCACAGTATGTCCTAATAATGGTGTCTCTGAGAAAGGGAGCAGAACTGGAGACACTATAAGGGACTCATTAGGCTAGTTTAAAAGATGAAGAATATCATGTCTGTTTTCATTGAATCTTCAGATGTGTCAAAGGCCAGCCTCTGATATTGTTTCAAATCCTGTGGCATTTGTGTAACACTTTTAAAAACACTCCTACTGAGAAAAAAATACATTATGGTGAATTAGTTCCATGATAATAAAGGGTACAACAAAAATAATATGAACATTTTGTTAAAATGACTGCACCACAAACAAATAGCAACTTATCTGAAGAGTATCACCACTGTCCAAGTATTACATAAACTACATTTTCCCCACTAGCATTGACCAAGGGGTTCAATCTGAAATAGAGGAGTTAAAGTGGATGAGGTTAGTGTTTTTAGAATAATATGTTATTCTATACATTACATAAGCTGAAATAGGGACCACAGAACTACTAGAAAGGTATATATAAGGGTTATTTATGGCTAAAAACTAAAAAACAATGCCAAATTTTTAGAAGTTTCTCTTTCTTCCCTCTTCTCCCTCCTTAATATATTCGCAAGAATGTTTCATCAATAGTG
Organism: Homo sapiens; assembly: GCF_000001405.40. NCBI lineage: Eukaryota > Metazoa > Chordata > Mammalia > Primates > Hominidae > Homo > Homo sapiens. Next base: position 118,019,724 of record NC_000006.12, on the reverse strand, counting down.
GGTACTAATTATCTTCTGATAATGCTAATGAAATACATCTATCCAAAGTAAAAAGAAATCTTTTAACTTAACTTGCTTCAACTACCCATTTCTTTTTTTTTTTGAGACGAAGTCTTGCTCTGTCACCCAGGCTGGAGTGCAGTAGCGTGATCTTGGCTCACTGCACCCTCTGCCTCCCAGGTTCAAGCGATTCTCCTGCCTCAGCCTTCCCAGTAGCTGCGACTATAGGCATACACCACCACGCCCGGCTAATTTTTGTATTTTTAGTATAAACAAGGTTTCACCATGTTGGCCAGGCTAGTCTTGAACTTCTGACCTCAAGTGATTCGCCCACCTCAGCGTATATCAATATCTTAGTACTGTTTATTCACACTTACATAGAAGATGCATTCAAATGGCCACACCATAAACATGCTTCATTTTTTGGCTCTGAAAATATCAGGTAAAAATGTATTTATCTACTATATAAAATATATATAGATAGGTGGATATAAAGATGTCTTGTAAAATACCAAATATACTATATATTTTAATATATTTATTCTAAAATTACAATTATATTTATTCAAATCCAGTACTAGGAAGCAAAAAACTTAGTTTCACATTATGAAAATCATATTATAAATTTATACATGCAAAAGTTTAAAACCATTGTCTTTCAGGATAAGAGAAAAGATACGTGAAGAATAGCAACTCCACTGATCTTGTTTGAACTGACCCATTCAACTTAAAGAGCTCAAATTATTTCAAATGATTTTCAGTCTATTCTGACAGTCTTCATCAAGCACTATTGCCACAAAGCAAAACTGGAATTCTCTGTCATGGCACGTGTATTGGAGTGTCCTCAAAGCTCCCAAGTTGAGAAAAAGTCAGTAAAGGTCAATCAACCCAGGATGTCAGGATGTACATTGTGTGGCCTAATAATATAAATCTGGACTGCATACCACTGCAACTGGTCCCATTAGCCACACATCCCCAGCTAGCTCTATGGGGGCAGTAGCAGATCATGCAGTTTTTGGATGAGATTTTCCTACATATTATTGTTATTCTTACTAAGAAAAATATTCAAAGATTCCAGTAAAGTCTTATATATAGACCTCTAAGCATAAAACACTTAGGTTACATAGAAAGGCAAGGCATATTTAAACTATCCCTATCTGAAGCAGTATGGCACTAACAACAACAATAATAATAATAACAATAACAAAGATGTACATAATTTGCCAATCTACAAAATGCTTTCGATATATATAAAGGAATATATATGTACATAAAAGAATTGATCATTTAACCTCATAATAACCCTGTAAGGTAGGAATTATTATGCCTTTTTTTCTTTTTTCTTTTTTTTTCCGAGACAGAGTCTTTCTGTGTCATCCAGGCTAGAATGCAGTGGCGCGATCTCAGCTCACTGCAACCTCCGCCTCCCGGGTTCAAGCAATTCTCCTGCCTCAACCTCCCGAGTAGCTGGGATTACAGGTGCCTGCCACTGCGCCCTGCTAATTTTTGTATTTTTCGTAAAGATGAGGTTTCACCATGTTGGCCAGGCAGGTCTCAAACTCCTGACCTCATGATCTGCCTCCCTCAGCCTCCCAAAGTGCTGGGATTACAGGCATGAGCCACCGTGCCCGGCCTATTATGCCCATTTTTAAGTGGTAAGAGACATGTTGAGACAAACTGAGGAACTTATGCAGCTACTAAGTGCTAGAAATAAAGTTTGTCCTTTGATTTTCAAAGTCTAACACTCCTTCCACTTAAAGAATCCAGATTCTGATAATGATCACTTATGAGGCACCATATGAACTGTTACTATGCCAGTTTGGACTAATGCTGGAGGACTTTAAAAGCAAAGTGTAAAGTAACGATAAGGTCCATTGACTTCTTTATGCATTTTTTAAAATTTGATCTTATATCAACTTGCCATTAACTATTCTACAAAAAAAGGCTCACTACAGTCCAGTCTCTCTCTTATTATAATGATCTTAGAAAACAAAATTAAAAGGGAACTTAACTTAGAGCACTTTATTTAATGAGCAGGGCTTACATAAGTGTGCAGAAATAATACGCTGGAGCTATTTTATACAAGAGCCACAAAAGATCTACCACAGATGAGTGACAGAAACATAATTAGTACGAGCTCATGCAGTTGCCAAGTTGCCATTATTTAGAAGAGCACTCTCTACTTGAAGTTGAGCTTTTACTACCCACTGAATATCACAGTCAGCAGAAACTGAAGAATGGTAGCCCAAGAGCAGATGATCCTGCTGTAAATTCTAGGGGATTTCATTAGCTGCTAACAGCCAATACTAAATATTGCTGATAAGTCCCTATTGAGCAGCCACCTTGGCTTGCCTAGGACTCAGCATGTGAAAAAAGGACAAAAAAAAGTTTTCCTGTCTTGGGAAATGCAGAAGCACCCAGTCCAGTATGGATTTGCTTGCCCCTTATTCCACACCCCAGGTCACAGCCCGCTTGCAGGTTTACTCTAGGATCGGGAAGTCCCCAGGGATTAGTCCTAATGTAGCCACTGGATGTAATCCAGGCCTAAGTGAGGCAACATTCAGAACACCACCAGTTTATATTGGTTCTAGAGTCCATTCAAGACATTGGGTCTATCTTTCCTCTCCTAGATTGGTTCTTAAAGCAACAGTAACTTTTCCAGAAATATTCCGGGGATGGAAAGACAGGAGATTCCGCAGATCCTATTCTCCCAGCAAACCTGTGTTGGTAGCAACATGCCTGATAGCTTGAACCAGTTACATGTGGAAGGAAAATCATCCTGCAATTTCACCACAAGAGGATTTTTTGTTATTGATGTCGAGGGTGGTAGAAATTTGGAAGGGAAATTGTGGGGAAGAGACAGGATGGCTTGGAGCCTTTTCCTTTTGAAAATATTCATTAGAAACTATGCCTTTTAGCCTCAAAAGTGCTACTGTGAGTCTTTAAAAAGAAGCTTTTGGATGAGAAGAACCAAGGACAGCAGCAAAGAATCCAGTGCTGACTAATTCAAGCGCTAAGCAAATATTAACTACCAGGCATGGTACAGGCACTGATTCCACAGAATCATATTCACACAGTAGCTTGGAACCAAAGTTGTCTATAAAAATAAAAGTTCCTGAACAAAGAATATTTGCAGTTCTACCCTAAAATATTGATTTCAGAAATGAATTCTATGCCTTTTAAAAGAAATGGGACATAAATCATGCTACTTTCCCTCCCACCCTTGCTGATGAACTAGACATGACAAATGTTTTCATATGTATAAAGTGCTTACAGAATTCAGATTTCTTGGCCTTTCTTTAAGTTAGCATTTTTGTGGGAAACAATGTTACATGGGGGATGTTTTTCTTTTTTCTGTATTCAGCATGAAACAGTAAATATTTGGCATGCCGTTTGCCCCAAGCATCAAAATGACACCAAAGAAGCATGAGTGGTGATACCAGACTGTGCTGACTCCTTGAGGCTGACTTAGAAACATTCTAGAGGAGAAAACATTAATGCATGGGTTAGAGAAGAACTCCTATAAAATACAGCAAACCGATTCCAAGATGAAGGTGTGGGAAACAGCAAAGGTTGAGCTGAATTCTCAAGAAGTAGAACTCACTGAGTAAGAAAACTAGAGAATGGGTGCCTGTTTGGGAAGTGTGTTATGTCAAAAAGCAGGTGTGATCATTCAAATTTGATAGAGTTTGTTTTGAAATAAAATCATCTCCAGGGAATTAGATTAATTTTATAAATGATCTTCCAAGAGGATACATACCAATTTATTTAGCAAATAACTGGATTTCTTAGCTGTTCATAGCACTATAAGAGACACTGTCTATTTCTGAGAAACTGTGCCAAATACAAGGATTTACCACTATAGTCCTTGTCCTTAAGGAGCTTTTAGTCTGGTAAAGAAGTGTGGCATGGGGTAAGGGTGAGGTCATAAAAAAATTTAGAAGTGTAGTATGAGTATTTCCTGCTGGGAAAACAAAGACTTTTCATTTAGTCTGGTCTTTGATGGTTGTGGTCAAAAATGGAGAAAAGAAGTGTATTTAGAAAACTCTGTTTAGAGAACAGCTGTTTTCAGAATGGGTGAAAAGAAGTAAGGAGAGATTAAAAAGACATCATGTCTTTTGCAGGAACATGGATGGAGCTGGAGGCCATTATCCTTAACAAAGTAATGCAGGAACAGAAACCCAAACACCGCATGTTCTCTGTGGGAGCTAAATGATGAGAACTCATGGACACAAAAAGGGGAACAACAGATACTGGGGCCTACTTGAGGATAAAGGGTACAAGGAAGGAGAGGAGCAGAAAAAATAACTATTGGGTACTAGGCTTATTACCTGGGTGACAAAATAATCTGTACCACAAACCCTCATGACACAAGTTTACCTATATAACAAACCTGCATATGTACCCCTGAACCTAAAATAAAAGTTAAAAAACAATCTCTCCGGAGGATCAACCAAGACCAGCTCCTAAGTGTATTAGTCCATCTTCATGCTGCTGATAAAGACATACCTGAGACTGGGTAATTTATAAGGAAAAAGAGGTTTAATGAACTCACAGTTCCACATGGCTGGGAGGCCTCACAATCTGGCAGAAGGCGAAAAGCATGTCTTACGTGGCAACAGGGAAGAGAGAATGAGAGCCAAGCAAAAGGGGTTTCCCCTTATAAAACCATGAGATGTCATGAGACTTATTCACGACCATGAGAACAGTATGGGGGAACTGCCCCTGTGATTCAATTATCTTTAGCTGGGTCCCTCCCACAACACGTGGAAATTATAGGAGTACAATTCAAGATGAGATTTGGGTGGGGACACAGCCAAACCATATCACTAAGCCAGTCCAATTTACCTGCCAGCCCATATAGGTGAGCCTCAGAGGATGGCTATTGCCTAATGCACTGAGGATGTCCTCCGGCTTGTTCTTAGTCTGTTTTTATTGTGTCTGTGCCTCTGAACACTTGCTCTATGACATTTATTTACATCTCCATTTCTGCTTCCTTAAAATTTGGTGTCTCTGAATCTCCTTGAGAAGATGGCATTTCTCTCCTTTGGCTTTCAGTTAACCTCCAACTTCTGCTCCCAGAGTTCTCCACAGCTCCTGAGAAATCCAAAGCTGCCTCCTGTCATGACCACACCAACCCCCAAGAAGATATCTGATTACAATTGGGTTTTAAAGAGTTGTAGAGAAGTGACAAATGTGAGCTTGGGTTTCAAAATCTGAATACCACAATTTATTCCCAGTGTACACTTTCTGTCTGTACCAATCCTTGTTTTTAGCATGTTCCTGTGGTTCATAAGTCCTAGCATCCTTTGTGGATTTCTTAACCATGTAGAGCCCACCATTTCTCACAGGCCATCAAGAGCCCCATTTAATTATCATGAAGAATTACTCCCAAATGCCTCCAACCCATGAAGAGAACAACCTTTCCTGAATCTTGAGAGCCTACAAACTACAATATACATTTTGAGATCTTTATAGTAGTAGGTTATATGTACTAAGTGTTCACTATGTGCTGGGTGTTTTATATACGATGTCTTATTTTATCCTGATTATGTGCCTTCAAAGTAAATATTATTATACCCATTTTGCAAGTAAGGAAAATGAAACTCAGAGGTCAACTAACTTGCCTGAGATAACTTAGCTAATAAACACTGATTCGAATGCAAGTCTGATGCAAAAGCTGTCCTTTTTTACCACTATGTAGCAATAGCAGACTTAGATTATTCTGTATTTTTTCTAATAAGCCACGACTGTAAACTATCTTATTCTGAATTTGTATAACACCCAACACTGTATTAGGTGTATTGTAAGTGCCTAATTAACTATTGTGCACACAGCATGTAGTGTGACTAGAAATTCTCTATGTAAGTGGGGGAAAAAAAGCATGATGTCAATTAATTTCACTTTGATCCACAAATAGTTGGATGGATTTGTCCACCCCAGAGCCAATATAATAAGCTATGACTAGAGCATGCTAAAACAATCAAATCAGTCAATTCAATGAAAAAAAATAACAATCCAAGTAGAGTAGTTTTAAGACATCACATGAATCAAAAACCGATTGCTTCAGGTTTTCCCATTTCAATCGGCTATGCTAAGAATACTTTCCTACTTGTATTTCTCCTGAGCATTAGCATAGCCTCACAAAAGGTGGGGTAGATATTGAAAAGGAGAAATGCACTTTCCTATTCACAAACATAATCACAGAGAAAATAATTTATATAAATTTACTTTTTAAAAGCCCTTATTGGTTTGGCTAAATTGAAAATATTGTGGTTTCTCTTTACTAAGAGTAAGGGAAATATGTTTCCTCTGGGGGAAATTCAGACTAAATAGAAATTATGACATCTCACCCCATCTGACCTTGTAATTCATACACTGCAGATCAATGTTTAAAAGCCTGCTGCCCAGTCCACACCCTCCCCAACCAAGAATGTCATATACACAGAAAACTGGCACCTGGACGAGCTTCAAAGTCCCCACATGGGCACTGGGGTGAGCTCATCACATCAGGCTAAAAACCAGCCTTTGTTCTCAGTGTCACGTTTTGCCTTAGTAGGAGATGATGTCCCCACAATCACGTCCATTCATGAGGCAAGAGCACTGGGGTCTGCACTGAACAACTCTTCATTGAGCTGCAGAAAACAGGGAAATAGCTGTCGTGTTTTCCCAGTGATGCTATTAATATTTAAGTGCTGTTCTCTGGTGGGGGTAGGGGGGAATAAGAACCCAACTCGAAGAGGGCTCTGACCTACTTTCATGATTACTGCTGCAATCATGAACAAATTGCTCAAAAAGAAAAAAAAAATCACATCTATCCAAATTCCAAGTAACCACCATAGAAGGCTAGTGTTGGCAAAAGATGTTGCTTGGAAAATTTGCAGCTACTGCTGTGGATCACATAAAAGACTTTATATCTAAGCAGAGTACTTAATGGTTTGTAATAAACAGTAGCCCCCATTTCCATTTCAGTGCTTGAACATGTTATTAATGAATGATGATGTTAAGTATGACATCTATAAAATGGCACATAGCTCTGAAATCAGAGCTCTCACTTCATCTCACCATTCTCATTGAATTACAGAAAGCAAATAAAGTGAAGCATATTCTCACTTCAGGGAGGTTAAGTGATTTGCCAGGAGACACTTAGCAAGTTAGCAAGCATAAATATGGAAGGAAGCAGCAGGATCCTTTAATAAAATTGGGTCCACACACCAAGCATGGCTCTCAAAGCATGGCATCTCAGCCCAGGTTTCCTAATAAGTATGGAACTCTAGAAACAAGGGGGCAGAAGCAACAGCTTGCTGATCCTTCCTGCTGCTGCCACTATGAAGACTCTCACAGTCACGTATCCAGAGGGTCTTTTTCTTCCATTTAGTTTTTCTTTTTTTTTTTTTTCCCCATTTATTGTCCCTGCATGCTGTTTCCTACAATAGCTCCAAGTTCAAGAAAAAGATGAATAAAATGACAGTTGCTAAGTTTACTACAAGGTAAAAAGTATCACAAATGTAGTTAAATAAACAAGTAACTACAAATGTCCCTGTCATTTTCCTCTCCTATTCCTTTACCTCCTGCTTTTTCCTTCTCTCCATCTTGGTCATTAATATAAAAGATTTTTTTTCCTTAATCCTTTCCTTCCAGGTTTCTTTCTTTTGCTTAAAGATCTATGCATGCCATTAACCCTGTTGTTAACAACATTACAAATATTAATATCATTTTTTAAAATGTCAGGATATGTATAAGGTGATCATTCTGAGAATTCAAAGCACTTTTTCTTTCTTTTTCTGATTGACCTCTAAGAAGCAGAGACAAATAAAGATATCTGTCTCTTGTCCCTCAGACCAGTGCTTCTGTCTCAATATTAGGCTTTTCAACTACAGGACTATTGACAATTTGAGCTGGATAATTCTGTGTTGAGCAGGGCTGTCCTGTGTACTACTGTAGGGCTCCTCAATCCCCAAGCCATGAACTGGTACTGGTTGGTGGCCTGTTTGGAATTGGGCAGCACAGCAGGAGGTGAGTGGTGGGTGAGTGAGCATTACAGTCTGAGCTCTGCCTCCCGTCAGATTAGCAGCAGCATCAGATTCTTATAGGAGCACAACCCTATTGTGAACTGCACATGTGAGAAATCTTGGTTCCGCAATTGATATGGTTTGGCTCTGTGTCCCCAACCAAATCTCATTGAATTGTAATCCCCAAGGTTGGAGGAGGGGCCTGGTGGGAGGTGACTAGATCATGGAGGCAGACTTCCCCCTTGCTGTTCTTGTGATAGTAAATGAGTTCTCATGAGATCTGGTTGTTTGAAACCATGTAGTACTTCCCACTTAACTCTCTCTCTCTCCCGCCAGCCATGTGAAGATGTACCTGCTTCCCCTTCACCTTCCTCCATGATTGTAAGTTTCCTGAGCTGTCTCCAACCATGCTTCCTGTACAGCCTGTGAAACTGTGAGCCAATTAAACCTATTTTCTTTATAAATTACCCAGTCTCAGGTAGTTCTTTATAGCAGTGTGAGAATGGACTAATAACGCATTCCTTATAAGAATCTAATGTCTGATGATCTAAGGTGGAACAGTTTCATCCCAAGACCATTCCCCCACCATCCGTGGAAAAACTGTCTACCACAAAACTGTCCCTAGTGCCAAAAAGGTTGGGGACCACTGTACTATTGGATGTTTTGCAGCACCCCTGGCCTCTACCCACTAGATGTCAATATCAATCCATCTGCCAAGGCTCTAACAACCAAAAATGTCTCCAAATATTGCCAAATGTTCCCTGGGGACAAAATCATCCACAATTGAGAAGCACTTGTCTAGATCATACTGCCTGGTTGTCTCTGTGTGAGAGAGAGAGTTAGAAAAGGAAGGAGGTTATTCTGGGTTTAGCCTGTGTCATTCTTGAGGTAGGCTTGAGATCAGTGAGGTGAGAGATTATTTTCTCTAATGTCTACTCACTTCGCAATGGTCTTGAGAGAAATTCTGTAAACACAACAAGATTGGTTAAAGAATTTTGAGTTTCTGGGAGGAAAAATAAAACCCCCAAAACAATAATAAAAGCACTGAAGCATAACATACATTTTATACAACATGAGTGGACTGTGCCTAACAGAACCAGTATGCATTGTCTACCTTTTGTACGTGTTAACATTTTTTGTATGTGTTAATATTTTCTGGCATTTATGTATTGATATAGCCTTAAAAAGGGTCAAAAATTACCAAGAATAGGAGTTCATTCTTGGAATATCATAAACCACTTTTATTTTCTCTTGTATTTGTCCTTACCTCAAGGATGTATTAGTCAGCTCTGAAAATATATTCAAGAGCTTTCAACAAGCAATTAATTAATCCTTGCAGTGCATTAATATTGAAGGAATGGTCATCTCTAACTGAGCAGACAGATATAAAAACAAGAGACTTTACTGTTCTGTAATGATTCAAACTAATTAGAGGCTCTTAAATGGAACATTTGTGTCAAACCATCAGTAAATCCCAGATTTATACTTAGGTCTGGGATATAAAGACCTTCTTGGACCACAGAGGAATATTTACCATGACAGATTCTGGAATTAGAGATCTAAATACTAAAGTTCCTCTATGTGCTATCAAAATACATTTAGTTAAGAATATTTTAGTCAACTCCCACCTATAGAAGTGTATCTTACGTTTAAAAGAATCCTAAATAACAATATTAGCATCAAATATGCACACAGTTTCTATCTTCAGAGGTTAACTGTAAAATACGTAGTCAATAAATTCCCAAGTCATTACTTCCCTGGCATGCAAATTTCCTTGTAAGCTAACAACGAAACTTCTTTGTCAGGAAGGTGGACACTCGACATCAGAAAAATTTTTTCTTAAGTAGGCATAGGTGGAACATAAATCTAAGAGAAAATATCTGAAAACAGGATTGGACAAATTTGAACTAGAAATCTTTTAAGAAAATGAGAATAAAATTTATACTAAGGAACTGAGGTTGTCATTTTGTGCACTCAGTTTTACTGAGTGCATAATTACAAGCACACTAGAAAATGGCAACACAAGACAAAAGAATAGAGGGTGTTAATGTACTTTACAGAGTTGTAGTCAAAAGATGATTGGATGTGTAGGATTCAAATTGCTGCCTTGCCTCTAATTAGCTCTGTGACCCTGGGCAAAACTGTCCACTTGCATTAATGTGGAGGCACAGGGACCTGAAGGTGAAGAGCAAATCAGTGTTTTCTGTTTTCTTATACTTATTTGTTCTCTCAAAACAGTTCTACTTAGATTTCCTTAGATTTAAAAATGGGGAGATATGTGACAAGCCGGACCAGGTGGCATTCTGGGATTTACTGAGCAATGTGACATTGCCTATGTCCTGACCTCAGGCATCTTTGATTCCACAGTGAACTGCCATTTAACCACCTGTAAAATAAACCTAATGTCTAATTTTGGAAAATTAAAGAGTACCACCATCTTTAGGATCTCCTTAATCTGCCTAATCCCTTTATCCTCTATCCATGAAGGCAGAAGCCAGATCTGTTGTGTTCTCCCTATGGTATCCCAAGTGTGAGCACAGTGCCTGACACGTGGCAGGCACCCAGCAAATATTTGTAGAATAAATGAATAATTCGACACACCAAAATCACCAGAGTATCTTGATTTGTTGCTCGTTAACTGGACATAGATACAGAAAGTGATAAATGACACTTCACGACAGTACACGAGTATCAACACAAAAGATATTTCTAAGGGCTGTAACTATTTTAAGTTCTCCAACGTGATATGTTCAATAATTATAATAGTACCATCTGAAATCCTTCATATAGGTCTTTAGTTTATATTAACAGAAATGAAAACATGAGCAGAAGAGCCATATTCTGAGGGAAAGTACAAAGAAACAAACTCCAGAGGGAGTTTAGACAGTGGAAGCAAAATATTAAAGATTGTTATTCCCCAAAGCAATGGATAGACTTTTAAACAGAGGCTGTTGCCATCTGCAGTTGTCACTGACCATCTGCTTAGGTCTAATCTGGTCTGTCACTAGCATTAAATATAGGTTAAAATTCTGTTTTTCTAAGTAAATTCCAGAAAAGGTTCTCTTATCCTGAATTGTGAGCTAAATTTTCATTCTTGGGCTATTTCAGCAAGAATATTATTAAATGGCTCCATAAGGTCAGGCCCATGGACCGTCTAGCCCAATATTCTGTGAGTGATGGCAGCCACATGCTGTAACTTTTATTACGAACTTCCTCAGAGTCCAGCTTCTGCACTGTTTGTAAACATCAAACCTGAAATTAATTTAAATATTGACCCCAACATATCAATGTCATGCATGGGCATGGTAGGCAGATTTCTCAGTTGCTCCTCCAAATTCAAGCCCCCTGCTGTGCACACCCTACATAATCTTCTTCCCTTGCAGGCAGGTGGAGCCTATAAATACAATGTGATAGTCGCTGCTTTTTTTTTTTCTTTTTTGCTGTGTACTACTTAAAAATTATTTTATTGGTATATAACAGTTGTACATATTTTGGGGGCACATATGATATTTTGATACATGTATACAATGTCTAGTGATCAAATCAGGGTAATTGGGATATACATCATCTCAAACATTTATCTAGCTTACGATTATAGAAGACTCTGTTGTAGCTGACCAGAGGAGGATTAAAAGTCAGAGATATGCACTGGTCCTGGAAAGAGCAAATATCCATGTGTTGAAAGGGCCTATGGAGACCACAGGAACTAGAGTTGGTCTCCAATTGCTGGAAGTAGCCCCCCGCCAACAGCTAGCAAGAAAAATGGGATGTGAGTCGTATGGCTGCAAGGAACCGAATTCTCCAACATGAGCTGAGAAGAAGACCTGAAGCTCCAGAAAAGAAATGCAGCCCCACCTGCAGACAAGAACTGCAGCTCAACCTAAAACTGAATTCTCCAACATGAGCCAAGAAGACCCTGAGCTCCAGATGTAAGAACTGCAGCCCAACCTGAGCAGAGGACCCAATTAGCCCATACCTGGACTCCTGACCCACAGAAATGTGAGATAATAAATGGGTGTTTGTTTCAAATTTGTGGTCATGTGTTACACAGCAAAAAAATTCTAATAAATCAGATAAAGAATAATGAGCATATTATAAAATTTTATGAATGAGTGGATTGATAAGGTAAGTGAAATCCAGTTTACTTTCTTTGAAAGGATAAACTCCAGTTTACAATGATTGAACTCAGGGGTATGCTTGGAACATGAGCCATCACATAATAAAGAGTGCACCCCTGAAGTCACTACAACCATGGGGATTACAGCTTGGTGGAAGACCACATGCCCTCCATTGCCTAGCACAATGTCCGGCACATAGTAGGTGGTTGCTGTGGTTTGAATATTTCTCCCCTCCAAAACTCATGTTAAAATTTAATTCCCAATGTGACAGTATTGAAAGGTGGGGGTCTTTAAGAGGTGACTGGGTCATGAATAGCGGATTAAGAGGTTATCACAGGAGTGGCACCAGTGACTTTCTAAGAGGAGAGTGACCTCAGCTCCCCCACCGTGTGTAGAGAGTCCCCGCTTCAGCAAGAAGGCCTTCATCAGATGCAGTGTCTTGGCATTTGACTGCTCAGCCTCCATAATTACAAGAGATAAATTCCTTTTCTTTACAAACTACCCAATTTCAAGTATTGTTATAAGCAACAGAAAATGAATTAAGACAGTGGTAAAAAAAAAAAACAACATGTGTTGTCAAATTAATAAACACTGAATAAATACATTTATTAATATATAACATGTTTTCTGAAAAATTAAGAAAATGGTGAACATATTTCTTTATAATTTGTAGTCTAAAGTTATTAACATTTACACACATGTAGCATGTGTGTAACATGCATGTAACATATTCACATACATGTTAACAAGTGGTTAAAGAACTACTCATCTCATGAGCTACTTCTGGGAGTGAATTCAGGGGGGTGTGTATGGAAGGACATTTACTTTTTATTGTGTGTACTTTACATACTTGGAAATTTTTGCATTAAATGTCAATTTTTTAATGATAAGAGGATATACTTTAAGAATAGAAAGATCTAAAAGCATGCCTGGAATCACACACTTTATTTATTTATTTTTAATTTAGTTATTTTTAGAGACAGAGTCTTGCTCTATCACCCAGACTGGAGTGCAGTAGCGTGGTCACAGTTTACTATAGCTTCCAACCCCTAGGCTCAAGTGATCTTCCTGCCTCAGCCTCCCAAATAGCTAGGACTACAGGTATGCATCACCATGCCCAGATAATTTTTAAAAATTTTTTGTAGAGATGGGGTCTCATCATGTTGTCCAGGCTGATCTTGAACACCTGGTCTCAAACAATCCTCTCCCCTTGGCTTCCCAACGTGCTGGGATTACAGGTATGTGCCACCACACCTGGCCAAATCAGATACTTTTTAAAGTTTAACACTGCAGGAGAAAGCCTTCTTATCATTACTCTCGACATTTTTTCAGACATTTGTAGTAATGATGATTATGCCACTCAATTAGGAAGGCATGTCTTTTTGAGGATCTATTTTACTAGATACTTTATGAATGCAAAGAAGCAATATCCTAAAAACAAACCAAAAAATGATAATAGCAATAATTCTAACTTAATCTACTATGCATCATGGATTATGCTAAGTACTTGACATATTATCTCATAGATTTTTCCCTCAGGGAGCTCAAAATTTATTTGAATAAATCAATTGTAATTATAATTGTAAAATTATAAAATCAAATATAATTCTAAGTTATAAACTTATATAATTAACAAAAATAATTAACAATTCTAGGCAGCATCTATGTGCCAAGGTAGGCTGGGATGTAAGTTGTAGAAGCAGTAAGTGAAATTCAGAGGAAGAAGTGATCCTATGGGAAGGAGGCACAGAGGAGGATTCATAGAGGAGCTGGAGGATCAGCAGAAACCAGTTTGGCTGTATCAGACGGTGGGTCAGGTAATTGGTTAGTGCTAGATCATGGACTTGGATAGCCAAAGGAAGCATTCCAATCCAAATGCATACTTATTTATTGTATTGGGGGGAAATACTGTGAGTAACAGAAAGCTGCTAAAAGTTTCTGATGCTAAAGTGGTTTAAGTAGGTTAACTTCTCAAGGAGGGGGAGAACAGGGTGGAGGACAGGAGAGAAGGAGGGAAGGAGAACATTCAGGGAAACACAGCTGTGGTTTCAGCATGGAGAAGATGAGACTAAAATTGGGCAAAATCATAAGACTAGGAAGAATAGGGAATGTCTAGAGTCACCCTAAAGGATGAATTAAAAGGGTAGTTATTAAACAGTTTGGGTAACATCAGAGAAAAAATAAATAAAGAAGACACTATGGTTTCAAGTCTACATGACTGGGAGAACAGTGGTTTCATTGAAAGAAACAGGGACAATGCTGTTCAATGGCCCCCACAATTTCTAGAGTAATGGTCAAGCTCCTAAGTGTCACACTGAAGGCTTCCTTGTGACTTGGCCAGTTTTCTCTCTTCTCCACAACCTGTATGCATGTGAGCAGGCACACACGCATAGGGACCATACTACCAGGGGACCTCTGAACACATCAGGCAGTTCCACTCCTCCATACCTTTTCTCCTCTTCTTGCTTTCTTCTAGCTATACATCACATTGTCTTTCTGTAAGACCTCCTCTGGAAACTCTTCTCAGAATGACGAGTCTAACTGAGATAACCTTTTCCTTTTCATATCCTAGCATGCCTGTGACTAAATACCTCTGTCATGACATCCACCATGTTGTAGGCATGTGTTTTTATGTGTTTGTCTGTTTCTCTGCCTGAGACTGTATATTCCCTTATTTGATTTTGTATGACCAGCAACTAGATCTATCTCTAGCACCTAACAGACACTCAATAAGTATTTGTTGAGGCCAGGTACGATATTGGCTTGCCTGTATTCCTCAGCACTTTGAGAGGCCAAGGCGGGAGGATCACTTGAGGCCAGCCCAGGAAAAATATCAAGACTTCATCTCTACAAGGAAATTAAAAAATGAGCCAGGCTTGGTGGCATGGACCTGTAGTCTCAGCTACTCAGGAGGCTCAAGTGGGAGGATCACTTGAACCCAGAAGTTTGAGGCTGCAGTGAGCTATGATCAGGCTGCTGCATTCCAGCCTGGGCTACAGCATGAGACCCTGTTTTTAAAAAATAAAAAATAAAAAAATTGAAAACAAGATTGTTGAATAAATTTTAAACTGAGTTTTTCTGAATTTTAGGTGATGGTAGGACAGAATCTAGTAGGATTAGAACTTTGTTTTCCAAAACAATGGTTAGTACATTGTTTACATAGGATTTAAGTTTCAGACAATAAGCAAAATATACACAATTTAACTTAGCACTTTCAGTCATCACTAAAACTCTCAGTGATAAAACAGACATTCTGGATATTAAATGTAACCCCAAACGTTTTTGTGGATATTTCTCCATAAGAACATTTAGAGATTACTCAATTTCAGGATTTGAAATGAATAAAAATGAAAACTTCAAAAGAGCACTCTCAGACACCTAAATCATCCTGTGCAATCATCAACTTCCAAGAAGAAATATAAGCTTAGTAAAAATTTAACAAATTGAAGGTGGCCTGGTGCATATTTATCCAGATTAATTACTGAATTTGCAAAATACAGGACCTCCATACAAAGACTGATAAATAATAACAATATCTTAGTGACTTACATTGGTAAGTTACTTTCACTTGCATTTTGCATTTGAGTCTTACAATATCCCTGTTGAGATATCACTATATCACAAAATAAGGATAGCCAAGATATCACTATCCCTACTTCATGAATAAGGATACTGAGACTGAACCAGTTCTGAATCTCTCCTCTTACCTCATCTCCCTCATGTGAGCAGTAACTCTGCTTTCTTTTTGATTTTGCTTTCCTCATTTCTCTCTGCCAGGAAGGGCAGATCCATGTTCTGTGAGATCTGAAGCTTTATATAATTTTGAGTGCTCTCTTTTAAAAAAAAATGTAAAATCATTAATATAAAATTAGGTATGAAATGTAACTTTAAACCTTCACATATATTAAGTCATGTTATCTTCAGAACAACCTCATGTTTGTAACAGGAACTGGGATGATCTCCATTTACCGATGAGAAAACTGAATTATAATTTAAACTTTCTCTTTCCATTATTCTCCCTCAACATCTGAACAGCACACTCTTAGCTTATATCCAGAAATGCCCCTCAAAGGGCACATTAGTGCCCAGACCTCAATAAGGACAACCTACCTAGCTCACCATGCATCATTGATGTGACCCATCCGAAGACCACAGCCGGCAGGTTGCCATGGGAACCAGGACCAGAACCAACCAGAACCTGCTGCACCTAGACTTATGCATTCCATGATGTTATCCTGGTAACTACAGAGTTAACTATGTTTATAGAATCTCATAAACAATCCTCTTTCATTATTTTGGATTTGCTGGAAGAGTTATCTTAACCTCTTCAGACAGTCCTAAGCCTGTACACATGAGGACTCAGCCATGCCACAGCAAAAGAAATTCTGACATGCTGGAGCCTTGAGAGCCCACATATCCTGAACTATTTTATCCTGAGATTTCAATGATATTTTATAACTAAACCTTTCTGGATGTAATTTAAGACACACTTATTGTCAGTTCATTCATTATTCTGTTTCCTCCTAAATAAGTAGTGCAATATATGTATATGCTATTTGATTTACTGAGCACAATCTAGATATTGTGTGCAGAGATAACAATACTGCATAAGACTGACTTCATAGCCACAGGGAGGTGTAAAGAGGTGAAGTAACCCTTGAGAATGCACATATAACTGAAATAATATAAAACTGATCTGATAATAGCATGGTTGGAGTTCTATGAATGATTGTCAATTTTTTTAATTCTCAAAAATAATGTTGGGTTTCTTTTTAATAATTCCACTTTTACTGATCTCTTATGCCTTTTCTTCCAGACAGGTTAGAAATTCTCATATCATTAAAAAGGTTAAGTTTTTGCATATGTCTGAAAATTATCTCTGATAGCAAACAGTCACCTGAGAAAGGGTCGATATGACCTTGAAAAAATTATTATTTAAACTAGAAAGAAAGAAATTCTTTTTTTATCTTCTTTTTTTAAATTTTATTATTATTATTATACTTTAAGTTTTAGGGTACATGTGCACAATGTGCAGGTTAGTTACATATGTATACATGTGCCATGCTGGTGTGCTGCACCCATTAACTCGTCATTTAACATTAGGTATATCTCCTAATGCTATCCCTCCCCCTCCCCCTACCCCACAACAATCCCCAGAGTTTGACGTTCCCCTTCCTGTGTCCATGTGTTCTCATTGTTCAGTTCCCACCTATGAGTGAGAACATGCGGTGTTTGGTTTTTTGTCCTTGCGATAGTATGCTGAGAATGATGATTTCCAATTTCATCCATGTCCCTACAAAGGACACAAACTCTTCATTTTTTATGGCTGCATAGTATTCCATGGTGTATATGTGCCACATTTTCTTAATCCAGTCTATCAATGTTGGACATTTGGGTTGGTTCCAAGTCTTTGCTATTGTGAATAGTGCCGCAATAAACATACGTGTGCATGTGTCTTTATAGCAGCATGATTTATAGTCCTTTGGGTATATACCCAGTAATGGGATGGCTGGGTCAAATGGTATTTCTAGTTCTAGATCCCTGAGGAATCGCCACACTGACTTCCACAATGGTTGAACTAGTTTACAGTCCCACCAACAGTGTAAAAGTGTTCCTATTTCTCCACATCCTCTCCAGCACCTGTTGTTTCCTGACTTTTTAATGATTGCCATTCTAACTGGTGTGAGATGGTATCTCATTGTGGTTTTGATTTGCATTTCTCTGATGGCCAGTGATAGTGAGCATTTTTTCATATGTTTTTTGGCTGCATAAATGTCTTCTTTTGAGAAGCGTCTGTTCATATCCTTCGCCCACTTTTTGATGGGGTTGTTTGTTTTTTTCTTGTAAATTTGTTTGAGTTCATTGTACATTCTGGATATTAGCCCTTTGTCAGATAAGTAGGATGTGAAAATTTTCTTCCATTTTGTAGGTTGCCTGTTCACTCTGATGGTAGTTTCTTTTGCTGTGCAGAAGCTCTTTAGTTTAATTAGATCCCATTTGTCAATTTTGGCTTTTGTTGCCATTGCTTTTGGTGTTTTAGACATGAAGTCCTTGCCCATGCCTATGTCCTGAATGGTAATGCCTGGGTTTTCTTCTAGGATTTTTATGGTTTTAGATCTGACGTTTAAGTCTTTAATCCATCTTGAATTACTTTTTGTATAAGGTGTAAGGAAGGGATCCAGTTTCAGCTTTCTACATATGGCTAGCCAGTTTTCCCAGCACCATTTATTAAATGGGGAATCCTTTCCCCATTGCTTGTTTTTGTCAGGTTTGTCAAAGATCAGATAGTTGTAGATATGTGGCGTTATTTCTGAGGGCTCTGCTCTGTTCCATTGATCTATATCTCTATTTTGAAACAAGTACCATGCTGTTTTGGTTACTGTAGCCTTGAAGTATAGTTTGAAGTCAGGTAGTGTGATGCCTCCAGCTTTGTTCTTTTGGCTTAGGATTGACTTGGCGATGCAGGCTCTTTTTTGGTTCCATATGAACTTTAAAATAGTTTTTTCCAATTCTGTGAAGAAAGTCATTGGTAGCTTGATGGGGATGGCATTGAATCTATAAATTACCTTGGGCAGTATGGCCATTTTCACAATATTGATTCTTCCTACCGATGAGCATGGAATGTTCTTCCATTTGTTTGTATCCTCTTTTATTTCATTGAGCAGTGGTTTGTAGTTCTCCTTGAAGAGGTCATTCATGTCCCCTGTAAGTTGGATTCCTAGGTATTTTATTCTCTTTGAAGCAATTGTGAATGGGAGTTCACTCATGATTTGGCTCTCTGTTTGTCTGTTACTGGTGTATAAGAATGCTTGTGATTTTTGTACATTGATTTTGTATCCTGAGACTTAGCTGAAGTTGCTTATCAGCTTAAGGAGATTTTGAGCTGAGACAATGGGGTTTTCTAGATATACTATCATGTCATCTGCAAACAGGGACAATTTGACTTCCTCTTTTCCTAATCGAATACCCTTTATTTCCTTCTCCTACCTAATTGCCCTGGACAGAACTTCCAACACTATGTTGAATAGGAGTGGTGAGAGAGGGAATCCCTGTCTTGTGCCAGTTTTCAAAGGGAATGCTTCCAGTTTTTGCCCATTCAGTATGATATTGGCCGTGGGTTTGTCATAGATAGCTCTTATTATTTTGAGATATGTCCCATCAATGCCTAATTTATTGAGAGCTTTTAGCATGAAGCGTTGTTGAATTTTGTCAAAGGCCTTTTCTGCATCTATTGAGATAATCATGTGGTTTTGTCTTTGGTTCTGTTTATATGCTGGATTACATTTATTGATTTGCATATATTGAACCAGCCTTGCATCACAGGGATGAAGCCCCCTTGATCATGGTAGATAAGCTTTTTGATGTGCTGCTGGATTCCGTTTGCCAGTATTTTATTGAGGATTTTTGCATCAATGTTCATCAAGGATATTGGTCTAAAATTCTCTTTTTTGGTTGTATCTCTGCCAGGCTTTGGTATCAGGATGATGCTGGCCTCGTAAAATGAGTTAGGGAGGATTCCCTCTTTTTCTATTGATTGGAATAGTTTCAGAAGGAATGGTACCAGTTCCTCCTTGTACCTCTGGTAGAATTCGGCTGTGAATCCATCTGGTCCTGGACTCTTTTTGGTTGGTAAGCTATTGATTATTGCCACAATTTCAGAGCCTGTTATTGGTCTATTCAGAGATTCAACTTCTTCCTGGTTTAGTCTTGGGAGGGTATATGTGTCGAGGAATTTATCCATTTCTTCTAGATTTTCTAGTTTATTTGCGTAGAGGTGTTTGTAGTATTCTCTGATGGTAGTTTGTATTTCTGTGGGATCGGTGGTGATATCCCCTTTATCATTTTTTATTGTGTCTATTTGATTCTTCTCTCTTTTCTTCTTTATTAGTCTTGCTAGTGGTCTATCAATTTTGTTGATCCTTTCAAAAAACCAGCTCCTGGATTCATTAATTTTCTGAAGGGTTTTTTTGGGTCTCTATTTCCTTCAGTTCTGCTCTGATTTTAGGTATTTCTTTTTTTTTTTTTTCCTGCCTCAGGTTTATTTGTACAAATAGCACAGGAGGACCCCAGCCCCATGCAGATGATAGCCCAGGGGTGGGGGTGGGGGGTCGCACCAGTCCTTCTGTCCTCATGTTGGCAGAGATATCTACTCTGAAGCCTTTGTAGGGGCCTGGGTACCTTTGGGAGCCTGAGCTGGAACTGAAGCTGGAGCTGCAGCCTGGGCCTTGGTTTGATCCTTGGCCTTGGCCTTGGCCTTTGGCCGGCACAGCCTGAGCCCCTTGGCAATACGGGCAAGAGCACGCTTCCCAAGCTTGGGGTGGGCAACGTAGGCATGTCGATCGAGCTTGCAGCTGACTCCCTTTGGGATCTTGGGCTTAACCTCCTTGGGCTTTACGAGGGCCTTGATAGCCTCGGCACGTGCACTCATGGCCTTGGCATTGTTGGCCTGCATCTTCTTTAGGCCCTTTTTGTTGTGCTTCTTGGCAAAGCGCATGTTCCTCAGGAACTTGGGGTCCACCCCCTTAAGAGATTCGTATCTTTGTGATCGGGGTTTCTTGATACCATTTCTGTGCCATTTTCGGGACTGGTTGTGTGTGGTGTGGTTCTTGGACTTGGCCATGTCTGCACCATAAGCCGCGGCTCCCGAAGTGCCTAGAACCGGAAGAGCTGATTTTAGGTATTTCTTGCCTTCTGCTAGCTTTTGAATGTGTTTGCTCTTGCTTTTCTAGTTCTTTTAATTGTGATGTTAGGGTGTCAATTTTGGATCTTTCCTGCTTTCTCTTGTGGGCATATAGTGCTATAAATTTCCCTCTACACACTGCTTTGAATGTGTCCCAGAGATTCTGGTCTGTTGTGTCTTTGTTCTCATTGGTTTCAAAGAACATCTTTATTTCTGCCTTCATTTCCTTATGTATCCAGTAGTCATTCAGGAGCAGGTTGTTCAGTTTCCATGTAGTTGAGTGGTTTTGAGTGAGTTTCTGAATCCTGAGTTCTAGTTGGATTGCACTGTGGTCTGAGAGATAGTTTGTTATAATTTCTGATCTTTTACATTTGCTGAGGACAGCTTTACTTCCAAGTATGTGGTCAATTTTGGAATAGGTGTGGTGTGGTGCTGAAAAAAATGTATATTCTGTTGATTTGGGGTGGAGAGTTCTTTAGATGTCTATTAGGTCCACTTGGTGCAGAGCTGAGTTCAATTCCTGGGTATCCTTGTTAACTTTCTGTCTCGTTGATCTGTCTAATGTTGACAGTGGGGTGTTAAAGTCTCCCATTATTATTGTGTGGGAGTCTAAGTCTCTTTGTAGGTCACTCAGGACTTGCTTTATGAATCTGGGTGCTCCTGTATTGGGTGCATATATATTTAGGATAGTTAGCTCTTCTTGTTGAATTGATCCCTTTACCATTATGTAATGGCCTTCTTTGTCTCTTTTGATCTTTGTTGGTTTAAAGTCTGTTTTATCAGAGAATAGGATTGCAACCCCTGCCTTTTTTTGTTTTCCATTTGCTTGGTAGATCTTCCTCCATCCTTTTATTTTGAGCCTATGTGTGTCTCTGCACGTGAGATGGGTTTCCTGAATACAGCACACTGATGGGTCTTGACTCTTTATCCAATTTGCCAGTCTGTGTCTTTTAATTGGAGCATTTAGTCCATTTACATTTAAAGTTAATATTGTTGTGTGTGAATTTGATCCTGTCATTATGATGTTAGCTGGTTATTTTGCTCGTTAGTTGATGCAGTTTCTTCCTAGCCTTGATGGTCTTTACAATTTGGTATGATTTTGCAGTGGCTGGTACCGGTTGTTCCTTTCCATGTTTAGTACTTCCTTCAGGAGCTGTTTTAGGGCAGGCCTGGTGGTGACAAAATCTCTCAGCATTTGCTTGTCTGTAAAGGATTTTCTTTCTCCTTCAGTTATGAAGCTTAGCTTGGCTGGATATGAAATTCTGGGTTGAAAATTCTTTTCTTTAAGAATGTTGAATATTGGCCCCCACTCTCTTCCGGCTTGTAGAGTTTCTGCTGAGAGATCCACTGTTAGTCTGATGGGCTTCCCTTTGTGGGTAACCTGACATTTCTCTCTGGCTGCCCTTAACATTTTTTCCTTCATTTCAACTTTGGTGAATCTGACAGTTATGTGTCTTGGAGTTGCTCTTCTCGAGGAGTATCTTTGTGGCGTTCTCTGTATTTCCTGAATCTGAATGTTGGCCTGCCTTGCTAGATGGGGGAAGTTCTCCTGGATAATATCCTGCAGAGTGTTTTCCAACTTGGTTCCATTCTCCCAGTCACTTTCAGGTACACCAATCAGACGTAGATTTGATCTTTTCACATAGTCCCATATTTCTTGGAGGCTTTGTTTGTTTCTTTTTATTCTTTTTTCTCTAAACTTCCCTTCTTGCTTCATTTCATTCATTTCATCTTCCATCACTGATACCCTTTCTTCCAGTTGATCGCATCAGCTGCTGAGGCTTCTGCATTCTTCACGTAGTTCTCGAGCCTTGGCTTTCAGCTCCATCAGCTCCTTTAAGCACTTCTCTGTATTGGTTATTCTAGTTATACATTCATCTAAATTTTTTTCAAAGTTTTTAACTTCTTTGCCTTTGGTTTGAATTTCCTCCTGTAGCTCGGAGTAGTTTGATCGTCTGAAGCCTTCTTCTCTCAACTCGTCAAAGTCATTCTCCGTCCAGCTTTGTTTCGTTGCTGGTGAGGAACTGTGTTCCTTTGGAGGAGGAGAGGCACTCTGCTTTTTAGAGTTTCCAGTTTTTCTGCTCTGTTTTTTCCCCATCTTTGTGGTTTTATCTACTTTGATGATGGTGATGTACAGATGGGTTTTTGGTGTGGATGTCCTTTCTGTTTGTTAGTTTTCCTTCTAACACACAGGACCCTCAGCTGCAGGTCTGTTGGAGTTTGCTAGAGGTCCACTCCAGACCCTGTGTGCCTGGGTATCAGCAGCTGTGGCTGCAGAACAGCAGATTTTCATGAACCGCGAATGCTGCTGTCTGATTGTTCCTCTGGAAGTTTTGTCTCAGAGGAGTACCCGGCCGTGTGAGGTGTCAGTCTGCCCCTACTGGGGGGTGCCTCCCAGTTAGGCTGCTCAGGGATCAGGGGTCAGGGACCCACTTGAGGAGGCAGTCTGCCCGTTCTCAGATCTCCAGCTGCATGCTGGGAGAAGCACTGCTCTCTTCAAAGCTCAGACGGAAATGCAGAAATCACCTGTCTTTTGCATCACTCAGGCTGGGAGCTGTAGACCGGAGCTGTTCCTATTCGGCCACCTTGGCTGCCACTCAAGAAATTCTTATTTAGCACAATTGTGCAAGTTTTTCCTTTTGTACTAATCTAGTACCCTAGGATTTCAAAAGTTTGTGCTAAAGTCACTGCAGAATCTTAACACTAAAGTTTGTTTTTGAGATTTTTACCTTAAAATTTATAAATGTAAAGTTTTAATATTCTTCTCTTAAATGTGGGTATTTCAGAAGAAGTAATCATATTAAATAGACAATTATTTATATACAAAAAATATGAAGAAATTAAATGTGCATGATACTCTTTGTAATGTTCCATCAGCCATGGAGAGCACTTATTTCCACAAAGATGGGAAATGGCATTAATGAATCTTCCCCTCTGCTGTAATTTTATTTCATTGACAATTTATTCAATAGTAATTTGCTCTTGTGAAAAACAGAAAATATGCATTTTCTTTTCTCACTTTCAAATAAAGAATACTATGATGATTTACGATACCATATAATCCATCCAATCTATGTCCAATTAAAATGGATTTGGCCATTTCTTAAACAGAACTTTGAATATGACTGCCCTTTTTTTAATTTTTATTTATTTATTTCATTTATTTATTTTTTCGAGACAGAGTCTTGCTCTGTAACCCAGGCTGGAGTGCAGTGGTGCAATCTAGGCTCACTGCAACTTCCAGCTCCCGGGTTCAAGCAATTCTCCTGCCTCAGCCTCTCGAGCAGCTGGGATTACAGGTGCCCACGACCACACCCAGCTAATTTTTGTATTTTTAGTAGAGACGGGGTTTCACCATGTTGGCCAGGCAGGTCTCAAACTCCTGACCTCATGATCCGCCCGCCTCGGCCTCCTAAAGTGCTGGGATTACATGCCCTTTGTATATATGGAAAATCTAAGTTCATTCATGGCTTCATTCATTCAATAAATATTTATTTAGCATTTGCCATATGTCTGGTCCTAGGTGTCAGGTATACAAGACAACATCCCTACCTCATTGAACTTAACTCTGGGTGGAATTCATGAAGGCTCTCATTGGTATTTAGCAAAACATTTGGATATATTTGTCCAACTTACTTTTCTAATGGGAAAATACATGCTCAGCTTTATAATACATTTCAGTGGTAGAAAATGGCAGAAGCAAAATTTTTGTTTAATGAAGGAACCCACAAGTATTGAAGCTATTCACCAGTTAAAAATAGTTACCTTGCAAAATAGTAAATTCTGTGACTCTGTTATTATTCTAGTAGTAAGAGAAAACTCAAGCTGGAGGATATTGGGAAGCCAAAATACTGCATAGGAGATTCCTACATTAGTTGAGAAGTCAGGAGAGAAGGTCCCCAACATGTATTGTAATTCAAGGAGTGCTGATATGAAATTTTACTTACAGATTGAAATGTCAGTTACATGAGTGATAAGGCATTGGCATTTACTTCGCAATAACATTTTAAATTGTATTAATTGGTTTGCTTGAAAATTGAAAAAAATAGGCATGTAAATTTTGGACACAGAAATGATTCAATAAGATATATATATATGTACTTATCTGTCATAGCTTTTTGGGGATCCCTAAGCATTCTGATGAAATTTAACCCACCAAATTATTCATGTCAGTGGACAGACATTCCACCAGTCAACAATATTTTATGCTAACATTTTTTCACAGATGAAGCATAGTACCTTTGGAGACAGACTGAATTCAAATCCCAGTGCCAAAAATATCAGCCACAAGGCTTTGAAAATATACCTTGCCCTCTGGGATTTAGTTTCTTCACTTATAAAATAGGGCTACTAATTAATAGTACCTGTCTCATAGGGTTGTAGTAAGGATTTGAAGAGTCTGGAAATAGCTCTTGTGAGGAGGTCTATGAAAGCTGTGGAAGGCAAAATGGCTTCCCAAAGCTGTCCATATCCTAATCCCTGGAATATGTTATGTTATATGGCAAAAGGGACTTTGCAAATGGAATGATGGTTATGTATCTTAAAATTGGGAGGTTATCCTGGGTGATCCAGGTGAACCCAGCCTAATCACAGGAGCTCTTAAGAGAATTTTCTCTAGCTGGAGCCAGAGAGATGCAGCAGAAAGGAAAGTTAAAGAGATTTAAAGTATAATGTTCTCAGCAATGTGACATTGCTGTTGAGGATGGGGGGGGCAATGTGATAAGAAATGCAGGTGGCCTTCAGGAGCTGAGAGAGGGTCCTGGCTTATAGGCAGCAAGGAAACAGGGACCTGAGTCCTACAACCACAGGGAACTTAATTCTGCTTAGAATTAAGCTGAACAAGCTTAGAAGTGGATTCTCCCCTAGCGCCTGCAGAGAAGAGCTCAGGCCATCTGACACTTTGATTTCTGTCTCTTGAGACCCAGTAAAGAGAAACCATCTAAGCCCACTCAGACTTCTGACCTGAAGAACCGTGAAATAACAAATTTGCATTGTTTCAAGTCACTAAGTATGTGGTAATTTGCTATGGCAGTGATAGAAAATGAACACACTTGCATTTGGACTTGCCCCAGAGCTGGAGCTGCCTGCCCTTTGTGCCACCTTTATTTACAGCAAACCTGAATTGAGGATATGTCATGGATAAATATAAAATTCATTTCTGCTAAGGAAACAAGAAATCAATTAAAGGCAAAGAAGCAGGAAGACAACTGTCAGAGTAAGACTGCTCAGATTTCTAGAGTTTTCTTCAGGCTAGGATCTAAATTATGCTATAACTATGAACAGGTGAAAGCTGAGTTGTTCTCGGGGAATACAGAAAAGTTCTCAAAGGATTAGTCCACACTCATTTGTTGTACTTGAATTAAGCTGAAAGATATAAAAAGGCTTCCTTCTTGCTCACTGCTATATCCATAGTACCTGCCACACAGTAACTGCTCAATAAAAATCTATTAATTGTTTAAATGAACGAATATTTACAATGACTGAAAATAGGAAACTATTATTATGTTTTTTCTTAAACTGGTACTTCTGTAAAAATATCAGCTAAAGGAATGACTATAATTTCAAAAAATTCAAATTTATTTTGGCTAAAGATTATGAAGACCATGTGGTTAAGGGTAAACATTACCATAGGAAGCCACATGTCCAAGCAGTGATTCGAGAGTAGGGGGTTAAAGAAGGATGCTGCTGTTCAGGCTCCAGAAGAGCTAAATGCATGCTGGCTATGCCCCAGCTCTGGCCAGGCACCCATGAGGGCAGAAAGAGCATGTTTCTATGGATTGGCTCATTAGGCTAATGGGCTGTTGGCACTTCTCTCCCAGGGCAGTTGAAACTTCTGAGGCTGACTGAGCAGGAAGAGAGAGCTCCCAGATCCCTTGTGATAAACGGGGTCTGTGGCTTTCTTTGCATGAATGGTTGCATTATGTGCAGATGTTCAGTGCACTTCCACAAGCTTTTATGGATGAATAAGTGGCATCATTATGGTGTGATTTGACCAGAAATGAAGCATGGCCCAATGCCATCTGCAAAATTCCTATCTTTCTGATAGATATTGTAGAGGGGTGAAGCTAATGAAACTAAAGTACTCTTCAGAGATACTGATGACTGCTGGAAAGTCTATCAATTAATTTCAAAATAAGGAATTGAATTTCTCTCTGCACTATTCTAGCTTTAAAAAACTTTCACTCTATTTCTTCATGGCACTTTAAAAATAATTATAAGCCATTCCATTAAAAATCTCTCTCATAGAGAAATAAATGGAGCTGAATAGGAAGTATTTCTAATGTCTACAAAAGTCAGCAATTTCTCTCAGTCAGAAAGGCATATTATGTACAGAGTAATCAAACTTCCTAATTTGGCTTCTCTGTGACCAAGATCTTCATACCTGCTTAGCTGAGGAGACAAAGAATAGATTTCGTGTTTATCAAATGATAACTGAGAGAAGACAAGAGGCGAAGAAGGACAAGAATGCAAAGGAAATAAATAGGGAGAGGGAATACTAAAGGAGTGGTTGGGAAGTTCACATCTGCTCCAATGTATAGGATATTTTAGAATATTAATAAAGAATACAGAATCATAACGATTTTTGGTTGATTTTTTTACACCATCCTTTTTCATTTCCCAAACTCAAGAAATGAACAAATTCAATGATGTTAAATATCTCATAAATGAAAGTAAATAATACTTTGTGTAAAACAGAAAACAATTACAAATCAAAGAATATACAAGAAGTTAAAAAGATGGAAAAGAGGAAAGAAAAAAATTTTTGTAAACCTAGAAAAAAAATCTGCTTGAATATTAGATCTCAGGATGGGAAAAGGCTTTCTACATAATGAACAAATTGAAAAGAATATATTAATAAGCTTAGCTATATTAATTTAAATCTTTCTATATCAAATATGCCATAACATTAAAAGGCAAAGAAAAACAGAGAAAAAATTTTCCCAACAAAAATAAATTATTTGATATCCTTAATATAGAGATAGAGCTTATAAAAATTTTGGTATCATGAGAAAAAAATGTTCAGTTGGACACAAACAGAGACATTTTTAAGTGGTCACTACATATATTTTGAAAATGTATCCCAGTACTAACCAAAAAAGTATAAAATAAAACAAGATACTATTTTCTATCAAGTGAGACAAGTTTTTTATTCCTTGTTAAAATCATACTACTTTGGATT
Organism: Homo sapiens; assembly: GCF_000001405.40. Classification (NCBI taxonomy): domain Eukaryota; kingdom Metazoa; phylum Chordata; class Mammalia; order Primates; family Hominidae; genus Homo; species Homo sapiens. Next base: position 117,991,734 of record NC_000006.12, on the reverse strand, counting down.
GTCAAAGGTACCAAGAGACAGACTTGCCAGCAGGCATACAAAACAGATCCAAGTGACGAACAAAAATAAAAATCAGAAATGGATTAAAAGACGTATGCAGCAGGCTGTTCATAAAACCTTATTTAAGCACATGAAACTAGAAACACGTGGAGACTGGTTAACTATAACCATGGTTCAGCCATTGAAAATGTCTTCAAAGATTTCTTAAAGGCATGAGAATGTTTTCATGGTATGGCAAGTGAAAAATCAAGATTTAAAAAAACTTCATGTTCAGTACTCTAATTTAATTACAAAATTTATTTTCATCTATATAAGAAAGCCCTAGAAGTATATAAACCAAAATAGGAAGAGTGATTGTCTTTGGATTGTGGGAGGGAGAGGCAGTACTTGATTACTCAGTAGGTGGCCAGGGCACCAGCAGAGCAGAGGCAGTATTTTTTTTTTCTGAAAGAACTTCAAAATTAAAAAAACTAAAAGCAATGAATTAGTCATCATGTACAAAATCATATCACAGTTATACTTCTTTACATTTACTATGCAATTTAGTACAGTTTTCATTATGAAATACAAATGTGGGTTGAGGGCACTATATTCTACCCATTGCTTCACGACCTTGAATATCTTGATCTGGTCCCAGTTACAAATAATTTTTATTTTCTTCTTTGTTGCACTTTCAGTAAATTCTGCAATCAGAATACCCACTTAGTTTTCTAATCAGAAAAAAATTAAGAACTGGCAAACCACTCACTTTACACTCTTTTTTCATATTTGGTGGATGGTACCACTAATCCTCAAAAGTTGAACAAATCTCATTAAGACCTAGTCATTTATGAAGACTTACAGCAGAACCAGCCGCAGACTGGTGGATGGAGCCAACACTCCAACTGCAGCTAATACAGAGAAACCAGCCACCCCAGCTGAGTCTGGGTCTTCTCTCATCTCTCTGTACAACCTCTCTGCTATTAATACCCCTAATCTCTAACACGTCATAAAATCAAGAATTGATTTTAAAAGGACAAAGGCCTTCTTCTCCACCTTCTTTTACATACCTTCTGATACCTAGCACAGGACTCAGTACCCAGTAGGCACTTGCTCACAGAGTAATTCTAAGAACAAATGAGCTGGTGTACAGGCAATCACTCTGTAAAATGCAAATTGCAATGCAAATGCAAGCAAGGAGCAATTGATGAGTTGCCTTGAGCTGCACTATTTTGTACAACAGAATGTCCTATTTCTTCTTTGAATTTTGAAATTATTGAAATAATATACTTCTTCAGTTACCTAGTAACTTCCATGGAAATCTACCACCAGATAAACCAGAGAAGACATTTCACTGGGGAGGAGAAAGGATGGAGAAGCATATGGTGCAAACACAGCCTAAGTGTGAAATTCTTGTCTAAAACTACTCACACTTCCCAATGGCCTCCAGCGTGAGACAGAAATTCCTTAGTATACAGGTCTGGTTATTTCCTAGATAAAATAACTGTGACTCTAAAGCTCAGGATTCAGAATTCTAGTTCTGCAGTAAAATTCAGAAGTACACTGGAATGAAGGATCTTCACCTGATGCCTTTAATATTTTTTAATTTTTAAATAATTCAGGTGCCCTTAAAATGGAAACCATCCACTTAGCAACTTTTAACCAAGGGAAATAAAAACTCTCAGGTGCCATTTGGAATCAGATATTCAAGCAGAAAGAAAATACTGAATCTAGGTGCTTCACTGTCAGGACGATATGCTAAGTTGGACTCAGCTCTGCTACCAAAAAATATACCACATATATATAGTTTTATTCATAGTGCAAAATTACAAAATGGATAAAACATTGTTACTTGTCAGACCACATGAACTTGATATTTCTGTGAGGGCTTTGCTAGAAAATCAAGTTACAGGCTTTGCTCTAGTCTTTGTTTTTTTCCCTTTTCTTAAAGCATACCAAAGCTTTACTAGCATTCTTTCACCAGTCATTGCTTTACTTTATTCTACTTATAAACTATAACTATAAATTTATATCCATTCACTGAAAAAATGAATTAAATCCAACATTAAGTTTAGTAGTTGTTCCCAGTTTTAGGATATTTACCTTTAAACACTGTACTTAGAATTTACAAAAAATTAACAAAATAGCAAATCATTTATAAATTCAGAAATTACAGTCTAGTTTCCATTTTTAAAACTCCCTCGGTGAACCAAAGAGGCCTCAGAACATCCCAAGATTAAATGTTTGAGATAAAGCTGCCTCAAAATGAAAACTACCTAGGACAATCGGACCAAAAATTATTTTGAGTAGGAGGTCTTTTCTCCCAGACATGCCACTTCACATGCAGAAGAATCCCAAATTATCTGACAGGCTACAAGTGGAAAGCACTTCCTCCACTGGTGACAGTCTTCCAGAAAGCACAGTGCATGCTTTGACAGTACAGAGATGGTTTCCCATTAGGGGACAGAGAAAGGAATAAAATGTGTTCAGCTAAAAATGGTACAAGGATGCTGTTTGTGAAACTGTTTTGTCTGGAAACAGAGGCTCATTATTTACCACAATGTAACATTCGAGCTGCTGGGATTTGGGGAGTGGACAGGGAGTGGAGGGATTGCTGAATGCAATGACCCTTTCAGAGGTGACCTATGAGAAGTCACTGACTACGAATCATCCGAGACTTGAGTCCCAGTCAGCTCCCTGGGTACTACCAACTTCCTCTCTACCTATCTTTTTATGGAGATAATAACAACTGCTTCAAAATATGACACCTCCCAAAACTTACAAAGTAGGACTGTTTTTCTGATTAATATACATAACATAAAATTTGCCCATTTTAACCACTTTTAAGTGTGCAGTTTAGTGGCATTAAGTATATTCACATTGCTGTGTGACCATCACCATCATCCAACTCTGGAGCTTTTTCATCATCCCAAACAGAAACTCTGTACCCAATAAACACTAACTCCCCATTTGCTCCTACTGTAAATAGGACTTTAATAATAGAAACTAAGAAACCAACTCTCTCCCACATTATTAAGCCATGGTGTTTATCTTCTTCCAGGGGAACTTTTTGTGCTGGCACATTCCTCAGTATCACAAAAAAAATCAGAGTTAATGGTCAGGCTGGTCAATATTAATAACATTGGTACATCTCTCCATATTCAAATAATATCATTGAAACAACTTTCACACTTCTGGCTTATCTCCAAAGGACCATCTCGGTTGAGGGGCTGGCTCTGGGAAGTTTTCAACTCTGCATAAACACAAATATACCCAGGAGATTTGAGAGTTTTGTCATCCTACTGGTGTTCTCTGAAGAAAAGTCTCCTATGGCTTAGAGAAATCCTTATATTTTTGATTGAACTAAATTAAGAAAGTTAACTGAATTATGATATTGTATTAGCCTAGATGGGTTTGCTGCTCTGGGATATAAGGGAAGTGACTACAAGCAGAAAGTCCACCATCTTGTCTCCAACCTCAGGTTAAAATAATTATAGTTCAAAGTGATTCAAACACAAGAAATTCTGCTTTACACCTACACCAAGTTCATTCACTTAATAAATATGGTTGGGCACCTGCTGTACCCTGCTCTTTGCTGGGGCTCGAAACTCAGTAACGATGGAGCCCACACAATCCCTGGCTTTGTGGAGTTCTCAAGGAGTAATGTGTGTCCACTGGATTGCTCTAGAAAGAGTGTAGGTTTGGAGTGATGTAGGTTTTCTGGGCTCTCCTCTCTGTGGAGCTAGAAAGCCTGGTCATCCCTTTATGAATGGCCCACCGCTGTTGGGCTCTAACTGCACATCCCAAGCTTCAAGCCTCCTGGAAAAAACAACTATTTTTTTCAGCCTTTGAAAGTTCACTGCCTGGACTGCAAAATTTATAATTTTGCATTTGCCAATGAATATTGTCAGTTATTTAAAAAACACATAAAATAATGTGTTTTAGAAAAATTGCCAGGCATATAATTCACAAGCTCAATCTTTATACATCTGGGAGAGGATAGCACTTTACTATCCAAGCAGCTTATATCTGCAGAGCAAAATAATTATGGAAATATGAGTTTGTCTTTGTTCTTCCTAGATTCATTCCCTTTCTTTTCTACACCACCCCCATGCCATTCTTAAGCAGGTAATCACCAGGCTTTTTGATGCATCATTTAAGGGATTGGAAAGTGGAACAAGCTCAAATTCAAAAGCTTTGGTAAAACCCTAAGTCTGTGCAGAGTTTGGGCTGGGTGTCCTGGAGGAAGAGGGAAAAGAGATGAGGAGAGGAGGGAAGAAGAAAGAGGATAAGAAAAGGAGAAGGGAAGGGAGGAGGAGACGGAGAAGGAAAGAGAGAAAGAGAAAGAGAAGGAGAGAAGGAGGAAGAGGAAAAAAAGAAGGAGAAGAGGAAGGGGAAATGGACGAATAAGAGGAGGAGGAAGAAAAAGAACAAGAGGAGAAGGAAGAAAAAAAAAAGAAGGGAAAGAAGGAAACTAGAAGACTTACATTACTTGATATCAAGATATCAAACTTATCATCTAGTTCCAATAAAGACATCATGGAACTGACCCATGCACAAAGAGATGAGTGGATAGGGCCGAAGCAGATGTGCACATATATAGCTGCCTGATTTATGGCAAAGGTGGTCCTGCAGGACAGAGGCAAACAAATTGAGAAAGCAGTTAGGTGTGAGGCACAGGCTTGGCCTTTAACGTGATTTTTGTAAGAAGCATCCCTTCAACCCTGGCAGTTTATCTGAATGCCCTTCCTCTGCACTCCTTAGTACCCTAGGCATTTTTTAATTATTATACCTACCTAATTATGTAAGTCAGTGCCTTACCTGTCTGTATCATGAGCACCCACCTGATAGATAAGGAACTGAACTAAGCCTAAGAGGCCCAACACAGGCTGCTGGAAATCATCTCCAGCAGTAGGAGCTGCCAGTGATGTCGAGAGCAAAAGCTCTTCAGAGCTGGTAAAGAGAAATGGCACCTCAGATATATTTGATGCTGTCACATTTAACAAGTGAGGTAAATATACTGATTCCTCATCTTTCAAAATTCTCCAGCATAGAGGGACAGACTAACAATTTCCCACTAGTGGAGACGGAAAATCAGGCATGTGACACAGCATTGGGGTCAGCCAGGCAGAGGCAAAGGGCCCTCAGATGCCCAGGGGAAGAGGTGATCCGGAACAGGGCTTGGATGGAGGCCAATCAGTGAGCTTTACAAACATTCAGTTTCAAACATCCAACTTCCAGGGTGGCTCTAGCACTTGTAGAAAATAAAAAGAACATATAAAAACCTAAAACTATATCCTTAGTAAGTTTTTCCGAGTTAAGTAAGAAAAGTAAAACTGATTAATAAGCGGCCCCTGCATTTTTGGTCTGACATGAACAATTAGGGTAGTATAATAAATACCTTTCTGAGGCTCTGCCTGGACTGACATTTATTTTTCCTGAAAATTATCCTCAATCCAAGAGTGGTCTCTGATGGCCATGTTTAAACTACGGGAGCTATATCCCTGGCCACAGCTCATTGGCCCCAGAGCAGCCATCTGATCCAAGCTAAGCCAAACAGATTCTGTCTCCCAGGAAATGAGAACTGGGACACTGTTTAGTCTCTGGTGAGCTGTGAGAAGGCCATATTCCAATATGTAAATGGAGAAGCAGAAAAGACAAGCTTAAAGCAGACACTACAAAGAATCTGAAACAAGAGACCATCTGGCCTGACAGAGTGAGAAAGAGATGAAAACATAGCTGCCTAGCTTCCAAACATTTCCAGCCCTGCCCAGTCCTTTGTGATACCCCATCACATTAATTGCCTTTGGATTCCATGAGATACCCCTGGATCCCATCTCTGTTTACAATAAAGTTCCCCATTTTCATTCACGTTAGCGATATTTTCTGTTATTTGCAAACAAAGGAGGCCTAACTTTAAGACAGATATCCAACTTAAGTGCATGCATATTTACTTTTTTCTATAAATTTAAAGATACATTAAGAAAAACATGAACTAATTTGACGAGCTGTTTTCTGTCTTCACTAATTGAAAGACTTGCTAGTCAAAAAGAAATGAGTCAATGGATAGAGGTATTCACAGTTTCTCTGAAGATATTTTAACAACATACAGAGCATACGGCTTAAAAGTGTGTATAGATAGTTATGCCACTCAACTACAGGTATTCAATGGCCTCAGATGATCCTTTATGCTGTTTAATGAACATCTTGAGATGCTCCAATTAGAAATGTATAATGTAATGACTTTTTAATTGTTGCATTTTTCTACACAACAAACAACTCTGCATACAAGTTGAGCTATAAATTCAGATACCATTTCTCAAGCACTTTCTCCCTCCATGTGCCCATTACAAGTGAATTGTGAATTGTCTAATGTTTGTTTTTAGCTGAGTATCACCATTAAAAACAGAGACATTTAAATGAGTACCATCCCTGCTCAATTTAAAAAGTTACAGGCAACAAATTCAAGGGGCTAATTTGACTCAGGATATTCTTATCCTGTGATTCAACCTCTCAGTTTCAATCTATACTCACATCAGTTTGCTCAGCATTTACTATAGGAAGTTCATCAATAGGTATTAATGGAATGGGGAAAGAAACACATTATTTTTTATTCTCACATATGTGGTATCAAAAGCTCAGGCAACTACAGACTTTGATAGACTCCTGATTCAATTAAGGAAGTTTTATCAAAGTGTGATCTGTAGTATTCTTAGCTTTCTGTGCAATAGTATACATATATTGCATTTAATGAGGAAAGGAAGAATTAAGAAGTAGTGTAGAAGACAGTAACACCATTGTAGAAACAAATTGAGTTGTTAGCCAATGAGAGATGCAGTTTAGTGTAGGATGAAGGACTAGCGCTTCCACATCAGACATGTGTGAGTTACTCTCCCAGCTCTGTCATGCACTCTGGTTAATTCATATCCTTTCTAAGCCTCAGTTTACGCATCTGTAGAAAGAGAACAATAAATGCACATACTGCCTAGAGTTATTGTGAAGATTAAGTGATCTAACATTGCAAAGCCTGTATTGAGCTGGGGTTGGCAAACTTTTCCTGTGCAGGACCAGACAGTAAATATTTTAAGCTTTTCAGCAACTACCCAACTCTGCTGTTGTAGCGCAAAACCAGCCACAGAGAATCCATAAATGAATGGGCATGGCTGGGATCCAGTAACACTTAACTTCTGGGACACTAAAATTTGAATTTCATATACATTTATGTGTCATGAAATATTATTCCTTTTTTTTTTTTTTTTTTTGAGACCGAGTCTTGCTCTGTCGCCCAGAGTGCAGTGGCGCAATCTCGGCTCACTACAAGCTCGGCCTCCGAGGTTCACGCCATTCTCCTGCCTCAGCCTCCTGAGTAGCTGAGACTACAGGCACCCGCCACCACACCAGGCTAATCTTTTGTATTTTTAGTAGAGACAGGGTTTCACTGCGTTAGCCAGGTGATCTCCTGACCTCGTGATCTGCCTGCTTATTTCTTTTGATTTTTTTCATCCATTTAAAATTGTGAAAACAATTCTTAGCTTGCAAGCTGTATAAAAACAGGCAGTGAGTCTGCTCCACAATAAACTCTGAAAAATATTATTAGCATTGCCATTAATAATAGTAACTGAAGATAGAGGTTATATATTTGATAGTTGTGTTACTATCAAATATATAAGGAGTTTTTTCAAAGTAAATGTGTTTTTACTTATTTCCTACTGTTTAAACTGTTGTTGGAGGGCAGGTTATAACAAGTTTAGAATGGATGCCCTGAAGTAATACAATATACTTCTCAAAGGGTTCAAGAAGGACCAAGGAAGGCCAATTATCATCCCATTGTAGCTTCCATCTTTAGCTAGTCTAATTTTATACAGTGGCCTAGACACACGAGTTTAGATTCACCTACATGCCTAACATTCAAAAAATCAGGCCAGTCACAACAGGTGTAAGGGATCAGCATGAATTCTAACTAAACATAAAGAGAAAGACTGACCATTTCTGTTTTGATTTTTCAGCTGTACCACAAATGGGTTTTTATTATTTTATCTTTAAACACCTTTCTATTTCGCCAGTGAGGTCAGAATGAGGAAAGTTCTGTGGATCAGGAAAAAACTTTTTTTCCTATCTAAAAACATGGCATAGATTTACAGCTGCTTCTGAATTTTCTTTTCTTTTCTTTTTCTTTTTCGACACTGCGTCTCACTCTGTCACCCAGGCTGGAGTGCAATGGTGCAGTCTTGGCTCACTGCAACCTCTGCCTCCTGGGTTCAAGTGATTCTCCTGCCTCAGCCTCCTGAGTAGCTGGGATTACAGGCAACTGCCACCACACCCGACTAATTTTTTTGTATTTTTAGTAGAGACGGGATTTCACCATGTTGGCCAGGCGGGTCTCGAACTCCTGACCTCGTGATCCGCCAGCCTCAGCCTCCCAAAGTGCTGGGATTATAGGCGGGAGCCACCAAATGCTTCCTCCACAAAAGACTGTGTACAAGCCACTTGTCCAAAGGTGTGTGCTTGGAGTTGGTTTTCTAGGCCTCAGACTCATCTATCACCATCCTGTTGCTGACTGCCCTTTGAGACAGAGGGAATACAATGACAAGTCTATTGACAGAGTGCAGTAAAGGGAAAAATTATATTTTTCTTTTTTCTATACCAAGTGTTCTAGTCTAGGTCTCTCCAGTTTAATGAATAGAATCAAGAAAGGTAGGCAGACAGAGAAATAGGTGAAATTTAAATGTCACCACCTCATTAAGGTATTAGGGAATGATGCTGGATAATGAAGATCATGTAGCTGAGAACCTGAAGATGCAGAAAGGTTAATAAATGTATTTGTAGAGAGTCTCCTGGGTAATGGCCCAAAATCAGATTGGTTAATTTGCTGATATTTTAAAAGAAGTAATTATGTACAGAAAATTTGGAGAAAAAAAAACTACGTTTTTTTGTTTCAGTTCCATATTCATTCTCCATGGATCTTAGTGTCAGATCCGTATTCATTCTCTTTGAGTAGAAGTACCTCAAGCTCCAGATCTGATGCCTTAACTGCACTCTCTTCTGAGAAGTTCTCACTGATAATGTTCATACAATTCTGCCAGTTGGAAGCACTTTCCAAGCAGAGTGGAGTCTATTCTGAAGTCAGAGCTCCTATGAGGTTCTCTTTGTCCATCCATACCACAGATTCTGCTCCAATTAAATGTCAACTCATCATCCCACATTATTCACCACTGCTAATGTTCTGAATGCTGTTGTCAAGGAAAATTAAAATAGTTTCTACCCTTTGTACTTCCATAACATTTTATGTGCATGGAAACGAAGAATGAAGATTAGGGAAAAGAACCTGCTGTTCTCTAAAATCATAGTTTTTATTTCTTGAAATAAAGGCTTCAATGCTAGTCAAAATCCTCATTAAATATTGACTTCTTGGTCTCCTTTCATACCATCTGCAATTCAGTAATTTTCAAAAATATTTGTTGTCATCTCAGAAGGAAAAGCTAACAAGAAATACATGACAGAAATACACCCAGTAAAGTTAGAGTCAAAATTACTTCATTTCCTATAACTGATTTACAGATCACATCAATGTAAAAAGAAATAAAGAAAGGCTAATTTATTTAGAAAGAAAAACAGAAACTGTAAATAAATATATTTTAAATATAAGTTTGACAGAAACAGATTTGGGGGTTGTAATAGATCACAGATTAAATATGAATCTCGTATTTTTGTATTCTTAAAAGCATAAGCATGGAGCTGTGATCTTGAAACATACAGAGAATGCAATGCCTAGCTTGTCAGACTGACATCAGAATCCTTAACATCCATCAGGCAGCAGAGGCACCATGGAGTCTATGGAGAATTTCTCCCTGCCCCAAAATGATTTCTTGGGAAAAAATAAGAAAAAAAGGCAATGTAAAAACAATGCTGATAACTACTGTAAAAGATTGGGATTATAAAAGAATAGTGTAGGTTGTGGTATGAATATACAAAAAAAAGTCTTTGACCACTGTTACATAGTTTAACAGAGTTTAGAAAATGTAAAGCTTAACATTAACTCCAAAAATAAAACATTAACCATTAACTATATTCCACTTCACGTAGCCTCTTTTTCTTTTCATGACTGCTTGCCGTCCCACGTACTTCAGCCCCTATAAACATGCAGAAGCCCTCCAATGATGCTTGGGAATAGAACCATACAGAGGCATTTCAATAATGTAATCCCACTAAGTTATTTAAATGCCCTGTCAACTCCCAGCACTCCCTGATGTCACCTCCCTCAATCCTCCCTCATGCACTGTGACAACACCATGGAAGCCTCTCCACTCAGCCTTCCTGCAGTCACTTTCTCTTGCTCCCTTCTCCATCTTAAATGTTCTAAGAACTCTACTCTCAGTTTTATATACTCCATTCTCCCTGGATGGCCTCCTCCAGTACCATAGCTTCAGCCATCAGCTATATTTGGGTAATGATCACATCTCCAACACCATCTCCATGTCTCCAGCATCATCTCCACGACTCCAGCACCATCTCTCTCCTGCCCTCCAGATCAGGATTTCCAGCATCTCCAACTGCATCTTCCACCTCTGAGCCAACATGACCAAAATACAAAACACCTGTGCAACCTCAGTCTCCTATCTTACTTAATGGCAACCCAAAATACCCTTTTTACATGGAAACAGGGAATCTCCTTTTGCCCTACAACCAAAGCTTTCTCAAACTCATCTCTTCCTCTCCTTTCCCCACCTCTGCTTCTGCTGCATACTTTTATCATAGACCACTAACTGGTATTCCTACATTTTGAGGGTTTTTTTTCCCAAAATTCAGAACTGATTATGTCACTTTATTGCTTACAATCACCCAGGGTTCCCTGTTGCCACAGGATAACTCTAAACATTTTTGCAATATCCCTCCCACTACCTTAAATGCTCTCTGGGCCTAGCTGTTGAACTCCTCCACTTTCATCAAGATTTAACTCAGATGTCACCTCCTTTGAAAAACCGAATAGTCCCCACAAAATTGATTCTCTTTCACAGACTCTTCAGTAATCATATGACACTTTATAAATATTTCTAGTTAGTCTTTACTACAGTGTACTCTGATTACTTATTTCATGTGTATATTCACTTTAAAATTTGAGCTCCCTAAAGTCAGAGACCTTATAAGCCCAACAGCCAACACAGTGCCAAGGATATAGGGTACTAATAATTGTCTGATAAATGAGAATGAAAACAGAAACTCCTTTCTGTTCCATTTTCTCTTTATCTTATATCCAGTAACATTTCTAGAAATTGTAATATCCTCCAATGAAATGTATTTTGAATTAGTCAGGCACCTCAACATATACAACATTAGAACTGGATGTTCAACCTAATTCTTGTAATTCTACAATGTAATCAGGGGCTTTGTGAAATGGGAATAATTAGGCTTTCTTCAAAGACAATCAAGGGTGCTTGTACCTCCTGCCACCCCTTACATTTCTTTAATGATGTGCATCCTGGAATCCCAGATTTAGCAGAGGTTTTGGAGGTCTAGCCCATCTGATCACCCAAACCTCAGTGGGAGGTTTACTTATGTAGATTTCTGAAGTTTCCCCCCTCACACATTGTCTCAAAATCAACGATGTTGAGAACACCTCACAAACAGAGTCTGCAATCTTACACATGAGGCTCTAGACAAGGTTCCATGGTTACCATAAACATATAAAACAGAAACCCATTCGATGAGTAAAAAGAATCAGAGGCCTCAAACTCAACACGGGTAGAAGAAATTTCACAACTGTGCTAACAGCAACTTTTTACTACAGTAAAGGGAAAAAAATTCTGATAAGTAATTCTTGCTGGCACAGTTAGGAGAAACATGAATCAGATACTCCTGATGAGATGTACAAAGTGCTCCATCATCCCATCATGCTGGGAAACAAAAGGCTCCAATATTGAAAACATCATCAGCTGGATCCCATGGATACAAGTTAAGGAACAATGACATTGATGATCGCGCAGCACATCCTATGGAAGCAGAACTGGATTTTCTCTTTTCTCCTACAACAGACCCTCTTACATGACTTTGGACTAAGAGCCACAGAGAAGAAAAGAAAGACATAATTATAAAATTTTAACTCTCTGTGCTTTAAGAAGAGTGTTTTAAGCAAGATTTTCTCTTTTTGATGTAAAGGCAGAACACAGCAGGATTGGGAACATACCAGTATGCTGATTACTAGAGAGCAAGCTGTGTTAGTGAAATAAAAAGCACTATTAATATTTTCTAGATGCAGGTTAGGTAAAATGAATGTATCTGAAGTCTACTTCTGTTGGAAAAAGGAAAAACATCGTGAGGCAAAACCAATCCTTAAGCTATACCTGCTGATATTTGCTTTACACCACAGTTAAATCTTAACAGTATTCAAGGGACCAGAAACTAGCCTCTGACTCATAAGAAAATCTTCCAATGGGGTAACGGAGGGTTGTGATATTATGGACTGTACAAAGAAAAGCTCTCCAACCTGAGCCCTGTTCCACCACCAACTTTGGGAATTATAATTAACTGAAGCTTTTTTGACACAGGAGGTGATGTCCAAGCAAGGTGTAAGTTTGGGGGATGTGGTGGGGAGCTGCTCTTCGCTAGCTTTCCATCTAAACTGACCACAAAGGCATCTACTAACATATAAATGAGTCAGACAGTAGTACAGGCTAAGCTGAAAAATGGATTCACATTGTGTAAAAGAATTAATAACACTAGGCATGCGGGGAACAGGTCAAGCCTGACAGGGACCAGATTGAGAGTTCAGGCAAGAGTTGTGGCTACCAGAGCAAGCTCCACATGCCCCCAAAGGAAAGTAACAAGAGCCATGAAATGAGCCACAGGATGAGGGCAGGGTTGTCACATAAAACATGGGATGTCTTATTAAACTGGAATTTCAGACACATGAAGAATAATTTTGGAGTGTAAGTAATGGGACAGGCTTATACAGAAATATTATTCTTTGTGTATCTGAAATTCAAATTCAGTGGGTGTCCTGTATTTTTATTTGCTAAATCTGACAACTCTAGATGAGGAAATGGGGCTCAAGGTAGCCTTAAATGAGACAAAGAGAGAGACTAGGGAATGACAGTGTAAGTGAGACAGAATGGGAACCAGGGTTTCTGCCAGAGGAAAGCTGACTTAGGTCTGAAGCAAGCTAGGAGTCAAAGGAAAGGGCCAGTGAAGAAAATAACGTGAAGGGAAAAGTAAAGTTTTTGTAGTGAGTAACTGTGTATTGAAGATAAACAGCACTTAAGACCACATGGCTTGTTGCTCATTATGATGAAGATGTAAGGAAGGGGAGGGACACGGTGTTGGTGTCCACAAAAAAGGGAACGACTAATCCAGCCTGAAGAAAAACACTAAGTAAATGTGGTAAAGGGGACCTGGACTCTGTGACAGACTCCATACAACTGGTAATCTGGTAAGATTTATTTTCTTTGCAAACTGGAGAGGGTGGGGGCCAGGGGAGGGGGAAGAGTTATTTTCCATAGGAATATTCTTTCAAAGTGGAACCAAAGAGAAAATAGGCCCTTATTTCTGTTATTGGACATTTCTAAAGCATGAAAAAATCAGGCACCACTTTACTGCTTTGGAGGGAGAAGATAGGTCCAATAGCAGAGGAAATCAAATTCAGTTCAGATAAACACATCTGAAGAAATAAAATAATTTACTCTGAAAAAAATGACTGTAATAAATACTTGTATTAGTTTATCAGAAAAGACTTTGGTACAATATGAAGCACAATCTTCCTAAAATTCAAGTAAAAACTAAATCTACTCCCAAATTAACATAAAAATAATTTTTCATCTTAATATTTATTATTCCAACTGCTTGTTTCTTCTGGAAATCCATTACTAAATGAAGCTAAAATTTAAGCCTCTGCCTCTGAAAATCTTTCCCTATCATTAAAAAATTTTGATAAAGAATTACCTCAATATCCTATGCATTAAAAGAAAAATCAATGACCAAAACCACAAAAGTATTTAATAGATTTAAATACATAAAAACTTAAAATTGCTCAAATGCATATATTTTTAAAACCATAGACAAGTAAATGGCAAACTACAAACCTAGAAATACCCCAGATATAGCAGATGGAGATATATTAGTCTTACACTATTAAGAGCTCATTTTAGAAGATAAAATCTTTTACACCACATAGGAAAATGGAAAAAAGTCATGAGAAGATAATTTATAAAAAAGGAAAAAAAATGGACAATGAACACAGAAAATAGCTAACTTCCCTAGGAATCAAAAAAATCCTTATTATATCAATACTTAGCTAACATTTTCATGTATCAAATTAGCTATTTTTTAAATTAAAATATTTAGCACTAATTAAGGTAGTGAGCATCAAACACCTTCCTAGTGTATAAATTGGTTTTAAAAAACCTTTCTAGAAAGTAGTTCAGCAGTATATGTCAAAAGCCTTGGGAGGCTGAGGCAGGAGAATCGCTTGAACCCGGGAGGCAGAGGTTGCAGTGGGCCGAGATCGCACCATTGCACTCCAGCCTGGGTGAGGGAGAGAGACTCCGTCTCAAAAAAAAAAAAAGAAAGAAAGAAAAAGAAAAAGAAAAATCATGTTCTTTCATCCAGGAATTCCACTTCTAGGAATCTGTCCTAAGGAAATCATCACATGTATCATCAAAGACTTACAAAGATATTCATCACACTTATTTATAATAGTGTAGAAAATGGAAAAGCATATAAATGTATAAATGTTCATTAATAAAAGAATAGTTAAAATTGAATACTGGACAGTCATTAAAATTGCAGTTAAAACAATTTAATTTAAATGATCCTTGATTGATATAATATTAAGATTTTCAAAGTAGCACACAAAACTATATTTATCTGTCTATATACAGCATGATTACAATTATACATGAAAACAGTGGAAGAAAATATGCCCCAACGTTAACTGTGATTAAATGATTTATAGGATTATGGAGCAATTATTGTTTTCCTTTAAATACTTTGCCTGTGTTTTCTGAGGATTCTGCAATAAATGTGTACTACTTTTGAAATCAGGGGAGAAAATGAGCAGAACTAGATTTAGCTAAAGAACTTTTTTTTTATTATAGCAAGGAAAATAGCAACATAGATTAATCTAAGAATATGCATAGGCTTAGACCTGTACAAGGCAATAAATAAATACCTTGGTATTTATTTAAACATTTATATTTACATATTTAATGATTACCTTGTGTACTGCAACTCTTTATTTATCATCTAAATAATACAGTAAAAAATAAACAGGAATTAAACTGAACAAAGAACAAAATCTTTGCTCCCCAAATCAAATTTTCCTCCCTTAAAACTGAGTTTGCCACATAATCCAACTATGTTATTTGTTTTCTTACAACCTAAAATTTGTAAAATTTGAAATTACTCTTCTAAAAAGGAAGAAAGCCAATTAGCAGTTTTCTTTCAGCCAGGGTTTCTCCGGTTTACCTTGGAGGTGAGAGATTTGAGTAAATGTCTTGTTGCCACTATAGGCATGAATAGGAATTAGCGCCCTCTTGTGAGCATGAGATGAAAACCTTAAAATACATTTGAAGCTGAAAGGGACTTCAGTTATTTCACCATGAGGGAAGACAAAGAATTGTGCTCACTAGACAAAGAAGATCACACTCCTTAAAGTAAAATCATCTCAGAATTCCTGATTATTTAGATTTTCAACATACAATGCATTTGTATGGGAAAGTGCCTGACATTCAATAGATTTACAGCTTGTCTTAAAATTCATGAGAGGCAACGTGAATGTTCTGTACTACTGCCACTGCGTGGGAAGTTATCACAGTGGAGGACGTGATAATCTACCTTTTGGCGAGTACGATGTACTGTGCTCACATGTAAAAAGCAGAATTTCCAGAAGAGGGATCAAGTCTTTCAGAAATGATAGAAGATAGTAACTTTTCTAAATTCTTAAAGAGTCATAAATCATTTCTTGAAAAATAAAAATGATGAAAACAACTTGTTAGCGCAGGAACAAAATAAAATTGGAGATTATTTAGAATACAGACTACAACTTCAGCATAGCACAGAGCACTTGTAGAACAGAATAAGTTCCCTTTTACATAGGTTAGTAGATTCCCGTCTACAAAAATAAATAAATAAATAAGAGAATCACATCTCCTATCACTCTAATCTGGGAGTTTTTAAAATTACACCTTACTATAGTAATTTCACATCTGATTGACAGGTTAAGATACACAATTAATTCTAAAACATCAAAGTGGGAGGGAGATCATACTAAAATGAAAAAAAATTTTCAAGGCATTAGGTCCTATAGTATTCTTCAACAACACTGCCAGACTTTTCCTGGGATGCTGCCAGCCAATCCCAGGTCAAAGCTTAATTGGCATTCCCAGTTAGCGGACTCTAAATTTGAGAAAGGCCACACATTGTCTTTAAGCATTTATAATGCAGTTAACTCTAATCAAAATTTCTTTATTTTTGTCAAATAACTTCAACAAACTTTTTTTCTAGCTATTTAATGTTCTCATTTATTTGAGGATGGGCATTAGCACTGAAGGGTGAGTGAATGACATTGGAAAATCATTTTAGTCAACTTGTTTCTAAACATCAATGGAAGGAAGTAAACATTTCCATCTGTTCAGCTCATTAGTGCTGATAAATGGAGATTGCAAAACTCAGAGGCTATGGATTCCTAATGGACTTGACTTACATCAGTGGCTCTCCAAGTGTGGTGTGGGAAATCCCTAAGATCCTTTCAAGAAGTCCAAACCTTCAAAACTACTTTCATAATCATACTAACACATTATTTGCCTTTATCACTCTCATTCTCCTACAAGTATACAATGCAAGTTTTGCAACAGATTGATGCAGAAGCAGATATGTGAGTCCACTTGTCTTCTATTAAGTCAGACATTAAAGAGATTTGCAAAAATGTAAAACAATGCTACTCTTCTCACTTTCTGTTTTATTTTGGAAAACACAATTTAAAAAGCATTATTTAGATTAACCCACATGGGCTTACTTTTGTTCTTTGGACATGTCATAAATATTTTTAAATTCCTCTATTTTAATTTATAATGTAATGAATATAAATTGAGATAATCCCACAGAAACCAAAGCTCTTTGGGTCTTTAATAATTTTAAAGAGTGTAAATGAGTCCTAGACCAAAATTCTTAAGAATAGCTGTCACAGATCTCTTATTTTGATTCAGCATTAAAAAGTTATATTAATGTTGAGCTCAGACACTCCAAAAAATCTTTCCAGATTTTCAGAATCAAAGCAACCTCCTGCTGTGCTCCAGAGTTCAAAGGCATTTTTGACTTTATGCTACTCAAAATCCAAATTAAATTTCACTTCAGTGCAGAATAAGAAATTTTCAAATATCATTCATTCATCCATTCAATAAAAATTTACTGAGTATCTATCATGTGAAAATACAGCTATGTTTGGAACATTGCTAGTCTGGGGAAATAAAATGGTATCTTTTCAGACTAAAACCATATATGCCCTGCTCCTAAATAGTAAGACCTAACACTGATTAAGTATATGCTAAGTGCTAGACCTTGTACTAAGTGCTTAATGGCATAACTAATTTATTTCTAACAAGAACCCTATGTATTATTATTATTCCTATTTCATGGATGAGGAAACTGGGGCATAGAGAGATTAAACAATTTGTCCAAAGAGCTGACAAGTGGCAGAGCCAGGATTCAAACCAGCAGAATCTCTGCATATAACCTCCCCAGTAAAACTGGCACCATCCAGCAGGGTACTGGGCCTGGATATGCATACCAGCTGCATGTAACAGAGCTAAACCCAAAGCAATGTCAAGATTCACTGGATGTAGTTTACCTTGGCAGAGCTGGAAGAAACCATAACTTTGAGTTTACTGTTAATTCCTGGATTCTGACTATTGGACTAAAAAATTAATTGATAGGTACTTCTGGTCATCCTTCACTTATTCACAGTTATAAAAGTTGTGAAGAAATGGCCCTAATATTACCCATAATCCTAAAGTATAGTTTCTATAAAACAAGTTTTGACCAGCTGGGCATGGTGGTACAAGATTATATTCCCAGGTACTGGGAAGGCTGAGGCAGGAGGGTCTCTTCAGCCTAGGAGTTCTAGGCTGCAATGAGCATGACTGCATTCCAGCCTGGGCAACAGAGCAAGACCTTGTCTCAAAAAAATATATATTAAAAATTAAATAAATAAATAAACAAAATAATAATAAATTTAAAAACAAGTTTTGACCTTGCAATGTGGAGAGACCCAGAAAGCATATCATCATCAAACCAGCTCTCAGGAAAAATGTCTACGAACCTTCAGTAACACTTATTTTTAGGTAAATAGATGAGTAAATAAATACATAAATCAGTCATTATGTCCTTTGTCCCCTTACAACCCCAAATCCATATGTTGAAGTCCTAACCCCCAGTTCACTTCAGGATGAGACTGTACTAGGAGATAAGGACTTTAAAGAAGGTAAAATGAGGTCATGTGGGTGGACCGTCATCCAACAGGACTGCTGTCTTTATAAGAAGAGAGAGACTAGGGACACATAGGTACAGAGAAAAAGCCATGTGAAAGCACAGCAAGAAGGTGGCCATCTGCAAGCCAAGGAGAGAGGCTTTGGAAGATACCAAACCTGCCACTGACACCTTGATCTTGGACTTCCAGCCTCCTGTGAGATATTGTGAAAAAAATAAATTTCTATTGTTTAAGCCTCCTAGTCTGTGGGATTTTGTTATAGTAGTCCTAACAGATACTGTAACAGATAAAACACCAGCCAAACTCTTTCATCCAACTGTATTTTTTAAAATTCCACAATTTTAACATTTATCATAATGCTTGTAAACTTATTAAATTGTAGCATCTAGGTACTTGCCTATGAAGAAAAACAGAAGTATCCCTAATTTTATAATGGGGATCTAGGTATGGGTGGCTGATATGATTTGGCTGTGTCCCCACCCAAACTTCATCTTGAATTGTAGTTTCCATAATCCTCACATGTCATGGGAGGGACCCAGTGGGAGGTAACTGACTCATGGGGGCAGGTTTTTCCCATGCTGTTCTTGTGATAGTGAATAAGTCTTATGAGATCTGATGGTTTTATAAAGGGCAGTTCCCCTGTACACGCTCTTGCCTGCCACCATGTAAGATGTGTCTTTGCTCCTCCTTCGCCTTCTGCCATGATTGTGAGGCCTCCCTAGCTATGTGGAACTGTGAGTCCATTAAATCTCTTTTTCTTTATAAATAACCCAGTCTTAGGTATGTCTTTATTAGCAGCATGAGAACAGACTAATATGGTAAATTGGTACTGCAGAGTGGGGGCACTGCTGTAAACATACCCAAAAATGCAGAAGTAACTTTGGAAATGGGTAACAGGCAGAGGTTGTAACCACTTGGAGGGCTCAGAAAAACAAAAGAAAATGTGGGAAAATTTGGAACTTCCTAGAGACTTGTTGAATGGCTTTGACCAAAATGCTGATAGTGATATGGACAATCAAGTCCAGGCTGAGGTGGTCTCATAAGGAGATGTGGAGTTTGTTGGGAACTAGAGTAAAGCTCACTCTTGCAATGCAAAGAGACTGGTGGCATTTTGACCCTACCTTAGAGATCTGTGAAAACTCAAACTTGAGAGGGATGACTTAAAGTATCTGGCAGAAGAAATTTCTAAGCAGCAAAGTATTCAAAAGGAAGCAGAGCATGAAAGTTTGGAAAATTTGCACCCTGATGATGATATAAAAGAAAAACCCTTTTTCTGGGGAGAAATTCAAGCCAGCTGGAGAAATTTGCAAAAGTAATGAAGAGCCAAATGTTAATCACCAAGACAATAGGGAAAATGTCTCCAGGGCATATCAGAGACCTTCACAGCAAGCCCTTCCATCCATCACAGGCCTGGAGGCCTAGGAGGGAAAAATGGTTTCCTGGGCCAGGCCCAGGGCCCCTGTCCTCTATGTAGCCCCAGACATGGTGCCCTGTGTCCCAGCTGCTATAGCTCTAGCCAGGGCTAAAAGGGGCCAATGTACAGGTCAGGCTGTTGCTTCAGAGGGTGCAAGCTCCAAGCCTTGGTGGTTTACATGTGGCATTGGGCCTGCAGGTGCATACAAGTCAAGAACTGAGGTTTGGGAACCTTCACTTAGATTTCAGAGGATGTATGGAAATGACTGGATGTCCAGGCAGAAGCTTACTGCAGGGGTGGACCCCTCATGGAGAGCCTCTGCTAGGGCAGTGCAGAAGGGAAATGTTGGGTTGGAGTCCCCACACAGAGTCCCTACTGGGGCACTGCTTAGTGGAGCTGTGAGAAGAGAGCCACCATCCTCCAGATGCCAGAACTGTGATCCAGTGACAGCTTGCACTGTGCACCTGGAAAGGCCACAGACACTCAACAACAGCCTGTGAAAGCAGCTGGGAGGGGGGCTGTACCCTGCAAAGCCACAAGGGCAGAGCTGCCCAAGGCCATGGGAACCCACCTCTTGCATCAGCATGACCTGGATATGAGACATGGAGTCAAATGAGATTATTTTGGAACTTGAAGGTTTAATGACTGCCCTATTGGATTTCGGACTTGCACGAGGCCTGTAGCCCCTTTGTTTTGGCCAATTTCTCCCACTTGGAATGGGTGTATTTACCCAATGCCTGTACCTCCATTGTATCTAGGAAGTAACTAACTTGCTTTTGATTTTACAGGCGCGTAGGTGGAGGGTACTTGCCTTATCTCAGATAAGGTTTTGGAATTGGACTTTTGGATTAATGATGGAATAAGTTAATACTTTGGGAGACTATTGAGAAGGCATGGTTGTGTTCTGAAATGTGAGGACATGAGATTTGGGAGGGAGCAGAAGCAGAATAATAAGATTTGGCTGTGTCCCCACCAAAATCTAATCTTGAGTTGTAGTTCCCATAATCCCTACATGTCGTGAAAGGGACCCAGTAGGAACTAATTGAAACATAGGGGCGAGTCTTCCCCATGCTGTTCTTGTGACAGTGAATAAGTCTCACAAGATCTGATGGTTTTATAAAGGGCAGTTCCCCTGAACATTCTGCTGCCCACCACCATGTAAGACATGCCTTTGCTCCTCCTTCTCCTTTTGCCATGATTGTGAGGCCTCTCCAGCCATGTGGAACTGTGAGTCCATTAAACCTCCTTTTCTTTATAAATTACCCAGTCTCGGATATTTCTTCATAGTAGTATGAAAATTGACTAATACAGTGGCTCTCAGGTGGCACCAGGTAGTGGTGGTTGTGGTCCACCTCCCCAGTCCACAAGGAGCTGACAAGGAAAATCTGTAGAAAAAGAGACTAACTGAAAAGACACTATTTAAAAAGTAGATAGAGAAATTCAAGGTCATACCTGTCTATTATATTCTAGAATGCTATAAGGAGGTGAAATGTTTCACTAAGGTGCTTGATGAGTTGTCATGAATAACAGAGGCTATACCTGGTAGCTGCATTGTGGTCTGTGGCTGTTAGTAGTTCTTATCATCACTATAGTCAGGAGAGCTCCTAAAGATCGAGTAAGTTAAAGAGTAAGCATTATAGGTGAACTCTGTGAACACAGTATTCAACTTCAAACACTGCAGTTGGCAGAGTCACTGGCATGATGAATACATCATCCAGTTATAGTACCCCATTCAATCCACTGATTACAACAACCTCAGCATCAAAAAGTAAAGTCACCAAATTCAGACAAAATCACTAAAAATGTACGAACTTCCTAAAAACAGACACCTTTGTCCTTACAAGTTAAATTTTAAAAATAATCTATTTGAACCAATGAAGTCTGACTATCCATACAACTGTTAGAATACCAATTAGTTCAACTTTTCTGGAAAGCAACTTGGCAATATGTATCAAAAACCCTAAAAATGTATCTTCTTTTACAGGAATTATACTTTCTGGAATTTATCCTAAAGGGATGATCAGGAATGCCCACAGATTTAGGTATAAAATATTAACAATAGCTATGTATATTCTAGAAAAGAAAAACATACACCAAAAAGTAAAAAATGTTTTTCTTTGGGTTATGAAATTGCAGATGATTTTTTTTTTAAGAAACAGGGTCTCACTCTGTTACACAGGCTGGAGTGCAGAGGCATGATCATAGCTCACTGAACCCTCAAATTCCTGGGCTCAAGTGATACTTTCACCTCACCCTCCAGAGTAGCTAGGACCACAGGCCCACATCTAGCTAATTTTTAAATTTTTTTGTAGAGATGAAGTCTCACTATGTTGCCTGAGTCAGTCTCAAACTCATCTCAAGCGATCCTACCTCCTTGGCCTGGGTTTATTTGTTTTTATACTTTTCATTATATTTCAAAAGTTAGACCATGTCCATACATTACGTTTCTGAATCAGGAAATAAAAATAAGTGAATGTTTTCTTTTTTACAAGACCAACCATGTCACTGAGTCCTGACTGGAAATTGAATAAGATCTCTATATACCTTCCTATCAAAGTTTGTTTTTTGGAAAGTATGGACACAAATAAAAAATATATTCTTGTTTAAAGATGCATAAAGTTGTTTCAGCCTACAGGTAAAAATGTTGAACTATATTACAGATAAATTTATTGTGAAAATGTGAACATGTTTTATAATAAAATTCCTTTTTCTCACTTCAGAAAGGACCATCTCTCTCAGTTTGTTTCTGTGAGCTGAAATACATCCATCCAAGACTAAAAGGCACATGGGGTAGATAATATAGTACTGAAATTATGAAATAACTTTCAACCTACAAGAAAACATTTTCTAGGCTATAAGCTACCCATATAAAAGAATCATCACATAACCCTTCTCCAGAGCAAAACTAGGAGTTGGAGAACTTATACAACAGACAGAAGGGAAAAAGAGATATATAGACAAGTAGACTCCAATGCTTCCAACAGAAATTGTCTGTGAGCAGAGTTATTTTCCCAAAACAATAGTTCTCAAATCTCTATGTGCACCAGAATCAACTGGAAACCCCTATACAAATACAGGTCTTTGGACACAGCCATACTGAATCAGAATCTCAGGGACCCAGAAACAGCAGGTTTATACCATAGATGTTTCTGATGCAGGTAGACTAGGGGCCATATTTTCCAAAAGTCTTTAAACATACCAAAGATTGGGTATTAGATATCCCAAACCACTTCTGAGTATACAACTGTCAATCCAAATCTCACTGGATGTATAAAAATAAACAAAATCTACCTCACTTGTGACTTTAATGCACAATTTGTATAAAAATAGTTGCAACGAAATATTGGTAGAGTTTTGGCACTCCCCAAGCCTTCTTTGAAGCAAGGTTTTACCTCTCTTCGATTTATTTTCTATCCCTCCCTACTGCTCCTCAACATCCAAAAGAAATCTTAATGATTAATCATCCTGCACTTGAACTTCCCTGAAATGGTACGATTCCTGATACTACCAAATAATGTAACTTCT
This sequence comes from Homo sapiens, assembly GCF_000001405.40. NCBI lineage: Eukaryota > Metazoa > Chordata > Mammalia > Primates > Hominidae > Homo > Homo sapiens. Next base: position 117,968,341 of record NC_000006.12, on the reverse strand, counting down.
TACCAAACAATAGACAAATAAAATACACTGTTAGGAAAGCCCTAATATGGAAAGCTGTTCTCAGTGAGAAAGCCCACAAAATCAGTTAATCTGGCAAGGTTTATTATTTTTACAAATTAAAATGAGGTTCTTATTTTCCTTTAAAAAATAGGAATATGGTCTAGAAGGAGGATAAAAAAGTGAATGGTACTGTCTGAACACGAATGCATTTCTGCAGTAATTTAAGCAAACAAGAAAGTTCTACTAGGGTATAGAAGTCAAATACAATTCACATAAACACCTAATTATGAAATGATTACCAGAACTTATGCTAATCTCTCTGTCATTTATTTTAGAAATAAAATAAAAATAGTGTTCTGGGAAAATATTAACATCTTCATCCTCTGCAATACTGCATTAAGCTCACATATATATCCATCTCTCTATTTCTCCCTATAACTAAGAATTTGAAGACTTACAAGAGAGTTTCTGAAACAAAGAAAAATATTTGTTCCTGTATTATGCTCATATTGGATTGAAATGGCTCCCCCAAGTTACTTTAAAGAGCTATGTCCTTTGGGTAACTCACCCTTTCTTGGTAGCTGTGTCTACCAAGGAGCAGAATAATTAAGTTAACTTTCATTAACTCACTCATTGCATAAGATTGTTTGATCTTTTTGCTCTCAATGGCTTATTTATTTCAATGGACATTAATGGTTCTTAACCCTCAGAAATTGCCAAAAAGCCAGCAATTCACTTTAGAAACAAGAGTAAACAGGGTCACAATGTGTCGATTTCTTCAATTTGTCAAGTTGAACAAACGTTATCTTGAAGTGTTAAGAAACCCCCATAAAGACCAAGGCATTAAACCATAAGAGGATGAGGACACAAGCGTCAGTAGGAATAACCTACCAATTTCTGTGTTACTGATAGGCAACATTAGTACCTTTTTGCTGATTACTTAAATTCTTAAAACACTCTCTTCAGTGGAGTTTTTGATGACAGAATCCTGTTTATTCATTTTTTAGAAATATAGTAAAAATTTTTTCTATGGTTTCAAAATGTATTTTTGATATTTTCATTTTTTTCCTGTATTTTCTATCCTTCTTCCAGTTGTTTCCCATGCTTTGTAGTTAATTTTTCCTTTCATTCTTTTCAGCTCCTTTTTCTGTGTGCTCTAAGAATGTTCTATTTTGTGTGTTTCATACTTTCAAGTATTTGGATGATATAGCAAAGTATCAAAGTACTAAAGAAAGCAAGGGTCTCAAAAATATTCAGCATTAGCTACTTATATTTCCAGTGAATGGAATATTGAGTGGGCTATTTCTGTCTTCGTAGAATTGGAGGAAAAGGCCCCAAGCTGAAACAAATCAAAAATATCAAAGTTTCTAAAGAGAAGTATCAGTGACACTTGGGGCCAGGAAACAGCCCTACCCTCTTGTGATGCACTGAATTGTGTCCCCCACAATTCACATGTTGAAGTCCTAACTCTCAATACCTCAGAATGTGACTGTATTTGGACACAGGGTATTTAAAGAGGTAATGGAGTGGAAATGAGGTCTTTAGAGTGGCCATAATCCAATATGGCTAATGGCTTTACAAGAAGAGGAAATTTGGACACAGGAAACAGAGACAAGACCATGTGAAGACACAGGGAGAAGATGGCCATCAACAAGCCAAGGAGAGAGGCCTCAGAAGAACCAATCCTGCTGTGTCCAGAATTGGTTGGTTCTTGGTCTCGCTGACTTCAAGAATGAAGCCACGGACCCTCGTGGTGAGTGTTACAGTTCTTAAAAATGGTGTGTCCGGAGTTTCTTCCTTCTGGTGGGTTCGTGGTCTCGCTGACTTCAGGAGTGAAGCTGCAGACCTTCACAGTGAGTGTTACAGTTCATAAAGGCAGCGCATCCCGAGTTGTTCATTCCTCCTCCTGGTGGGTTGGTGGTCTTCAGGAGTGAAGCTGCAGATCTTCGCGGCGAGTGTTACAGCTCTTAAAGGCAGTGCCTCTGGAGTTGTTAGTTCCTGCCGGTGGGTTCGTGGTCTCGCTGACTTCAGGAGCGAAGCTGAAGACCTTTGCCGTGAGTGTTACATCTCATAAAGGCAGTGTGGACCCAAAGAGTGAGCAGCAGCAAGATTTATTGCGAAGTGCGAAAGAACAAAGCTTCCACAGCATGGACAGGGACCCCAGCAGGGTACCGCTGCTGCTTGGGGCGGGGCGGGAGTGGGGGGGGGGGCGGTGGCCTGCTTTTATTCCCTTATTTGGCCCAACCTACATCCTGCTAATTGGTCCATTTTACAGAGAGCTGATTGGTCGGTTTTACAGAGTGCTGATTGGCCTGCTTTACAGAGTGCTGATTGGTCCATTTTGACAGAGTGCTGACTGGTGCGTTTACAAACCTTTAGCTAGACACAGAGTGCTGACTGGTGTATTTATAATCCTTTAGCTAGACAGAAAAGTTCTCCAGGTCCCCTACCCGATCAGTTAGACATAGCGCTGATTGGTGCATTTACAAACCTTTAGCTAGACACAGAGTGCTGATTGGTGCATTTACAATCCTTTAGCTAGACAGAAAGGTTCTCCAAGTCCCCACCCAACCCAGAAGCCCAGCTGGCTTCACCTCTCACTGCCAACACCAGAACTGTGAGAAAATAAATTTCTATCATTTAAGCCACCCAGTCTGTGGTACTATGTTATGTCAGCCAGAGCAAACACATACATCCACCGTCTACCACCCCAGCTGTGGGGTGGGAATAATGAGAGTCCTCAGCTCTGTGAGGGAATCAACCTCATGGTCCAGAATCCTTTTGGGGAGGGAGGACGGGTGCTCTTCCTCCCTAATACAATGGAGAGGGCCTCCAGGCCATTCATTCCAAAAGACTGGGGTAAATGCCAGAAGGAAAACTTCTGCTTTGGCAGCAGCCTCACCTGTTTCTGCAATCTAAGCAGGGTTCATAAGAACTGAGGAGAGATGGTAGGCCTGAAAAAAGGCTTGCCAGTAGCTCAATGTTTGCTCCTACCACTTGGTTGAGGGCAAGGATTTGTGAACTATGACTTGCATGTCCTTTCCTGGAGGCCACTGGACTTGTGGCATGTTGCTGGCACCACCATAGAGGCTGTAGGGTAAGCAGTGGTGGTGGAAACTGACCCAACTGTCTCATATAACTGATGTTTATGGGTATTTTGAATAAACATAGAAATCCACCCTCTTAGAAACTCAGGAAAATTATATTTGTCTTATCTGAGTTCCTTTCTTAGAAAATCAACTGTCAGTTCTACCAGATCCTATCAAGCAACTGAAACTTATCAGATGACCAGATCTGGTCAATGAGATGTCAGACTCCTCACTCATTATGATTGCCTAAGTGACCGTCTCCTTCCTGTTGGCCAACTCCTCTTCCGTATCCCTCCCTTATTTCTGTTTTCCTGCATGTAGTTACATTTATTCCCTGCTATATGAACCCCTAACTTTAGTCAGTCAGAGAAATGAATTTGCGACTGACCTCCCGTCTCCTCTGCTGCAGCACTGGATTAAAGCCTTCTTCCCTGGCAATACTTGTTGTCTCAGTGATTAGGTTTCTGTGTGGTGAGCAGCAAGTCCTAGACCAAATCCCTGGTGTTTCTGTAACAGTGGCTTGAGCTAAGTGGGAGGATGCTGATCAAGCCAGAGCCTAAATCTTCACACCAGAGAGAAGTGGAGTTAGGAAGCCCTCAGGGTCCTCCAGAGTGCTCTCTGCTCTACAGGAGAGGCAACACCTCTTCCAGTGACTAGTCACTATCAGTCAAAGAAACAGCAAAAGGAGAGGCCTAGGCCTCACTCAATTACATGATGAAACATCACCCTCTCTTCTCAGGTCCTTCTTGCAGCCAATAATGGATGAGTTTGCCTAGAAAAAAACAGGAAAGAACAGTGTACAAATAGTAGTTTAGGTCCCACCTCCAAGCTACTTAGGTCACTAGTGGAGTCTGCACTAGAGAAGAGAGGAAGTTTTAAATTGGATGTGAGAGTAAAAATTTAAACTGGACTGGCTAAATGTTTAATAAGTCAAAGCAACCAGAAAGGTTAGGGATATTCCCAATATGTTGTGAAGGCTGGGCAAAGAGAACATGAGAAAGCACAGGTGAAAGTGGTGGGCAACATCAATGATAGACTGGAGAAAGAAAATATGGTACATATACACTATGGAATACTATGCAGCCATAAAAAGGAATAAGATCATGTCCTTTGCAGGGACGTGGATGGAGCTGGAAGCCATTATCCTCAGCAAACTAACACAAGAACAGAAAACCAAACACTGCATGTTCTCACTTGTAAGTGGGAGCTGAACAATGAGAACACATGGATGCAGGGAGGGACATGGAACAGCACACACTGGAACCTGTCAGGGGTACAGAGGGAAGGGAGAGCATCAGGATAAATACTTAATGCATGTGGGGCTTAATACCTAGGTAATGACTTGATAGGTGCAGCAAACCACCATGGCGCATGTTTACCTATGTAACAAACCCGCACATCCTGCACATGTATCCCTGCACATGTATCCCAGAACTTAAAATTTAATTTAATTTAAAAAAAATAAAGTGGTGGGGAAACAAGCAAAAACAATCATGTTTATACCCAACCAAAGTAAGGGTCATCAATAAAACCTCCTTAACAAGGTTCCCCAGTGAAAGAGAGTACAGAATCAGTCACTAAAAATACATAAAGTATTCAAGATTTGGTGAAAAATCTTCAAGAATTCAGGGGGGAAAATTGTCTAGAAAGACTTTAGGAGTTTAAAAAGCATCAATTAACAGTTTCTTGGAAATGTTTACTTTCACATTTTTAAGAATCCCTTTTTCCCTCTAATATTATCGTGTAGCACACAATGATTAAGAATTAAAATAAAAATTAGTTTTACCCTTAGAATGCGCACATGTAACCATTTTGTGCATATGTGATGTGTGATACTCTGAAGCCAGAGTTAGAATCGCTGGCACAAAGTCCCCCTAAAAGTGATATGCAGCCAAAAAAAAAAAACAATAAAATAAAATAGTAACTAATCACTAAGTATTTACTATTTACTTTACGCCAAAACTTAGGGTGCTGAGAACTTTGCATATGTTGTCTCAGTAATCCTTACCACAATCATATGTGGTAAATTCTAGTATGGTCATTTTATAGATCAGCAATGATGTACTTGGGCCACTTAATGAGCCTACTGTTAAATATTCCAGAGTTTTGCAAGCCACAACCTTAGGTATTTTGAAATTGCCATATTGGAAGTAGATAAATCACGGAAATTGGCAAGTGTTACAAATCCAGGTCCCTGGCTTCCTTCCTTCCCCCTCCCCTCCAATGGGTTTACGAACACACCACAGCATAAGGAAACCGGGGCTCTGAGAGTTTAAGATGTGTGGTCAGATCACAGAGGTAGGAAGTGATGGAATGAGGCTCTGAGCCCCAATGTCTCAGGTCCCCCAGCACAAGCTCTAACACACTGTCCCCTTCACACATGTAGCAGAGCTTCTAGCACTATGCAAGTGGGCAGAGCAACAAAATTACAATTAAAGAGTGCCTAGCTGATCGAGTCTTATGTTTTCTGCATTTTTCAGTGTTTCTTCTCCAGCAAGTACACAATGAAGACACTTTCTTCTTTGATCCCCCAGGAGTACCCTAAGTCTTGCAGCTGATGGGAGCTGGCAGGCCCTCCAGGGGAGTCCAGTGTCTATCAGTAGGAGAGGAGTGGTGGGCGTTCACATCTTCCCTGCATTGTTGCCCTTTTCATCCAAGCTTTGTTTGCCAAGAAAGAGAGCAGCATCTGCTCTCTGGGTGAGCAGATGATTATATAAGACCCCACGGTTTTACATCAAAGAAGACGGAATCAAAATCTTTTGTGTGTTTGTGTGTGTGGTGGTGTTCAAGGACTTGCATTTTTAAAAAGCAAGGAGGGAGTCATTTCAAAATGTAAACATGCTGAAACAACTACTGAAACAATGGGAAGTTTTAATAAGTGAAGGGAAAAAATAATTCTCACTGCCTTGCAAAACATCACACCTCAAGTTTTGTTTTTTTGTATTAAAATACCAGGGGACTAATTTCATGAGCTATGCTGCTTCCTCATCTACACACAGTACTCAAGAAGGGAGGCTGATAGACAGGATGGGAAAGGCAGTCCCCTGCTCATCTCACCTCTTGTATATGGTTATATCTTAGTCTGGCAATGGATTGATCCTGAATTCTAAAGCAATGTTATACATTGAGGACTCAAACCCTTAAATGGAAACCGAGTGATCCAGTCGATAATACAAGAGTTACTAAACATCTAAATGTTAAAAACATAACTACACAGCATCTTCAATAGTATCATCAGACACAGGTCCTCACACACATGAATAACAATTACTATGGGTATTTATTCTATGCATAAACTGAGTTCTGATATAACTTACCACCATCTTCCTCCAGCCAAGACTTTTCTCCACATATATTTATGTATAAACTGTAAGACTAGGTATCACAAGCTAGACATAAATATAGGAAGAGCTATTGATTGAGTTGCATTGAATTAGAATCACAGAAAATGAAACATGTCATATATTAGTATGTTCAACCCTAGAAATAAATCTCTCCTTTCACAGTGGATTACTGGGAAACATTACATTTGTATATGTTGGATTGTATATCTAATGTGAGACTTCAGAACGGACTAATAGCTAGATTAAAGAAACTGATAGTGGAATAAAAAAAATGGCAGTCAGGTCCTTCAGGAAACACTGTGTATCTGTGCTTTATGTTAACTGAGCACAAAAGGCAACTAAGAGGAGGAGTGGAGGAATAGGAAGACAGACACAGGATTGAGAGGTCCTGGAAATCACTTCCCTTCTAGACCCGACGAAGCAACTCCAGAGCTTCAGGCTGAGCTCTCTTCTATTAATCAGTCCTTTGTCCAGACTGCCTGAGCATCAGCTGGGAAGGAAGAGCTCACAAGTTTTCCATTTGGTTTTACTAAATGTTCCCATCCTGTAGAGATGACCAGGGGTCTTGGTGTCCTGCCTGCAGTAGTTCTAGCTTTCTGAATAGTTTCAGTGATAAAGCAGAATAAAAATGTTGTCAGAATAATTGAATCTGCTAGAGATTCTTCAGTTATCCATTCATGGCGATTCAGCTGTCTCATTTCCAAGTTTTTCATGGAGTTCATTATAGAGGTTCCCATTGTAAATGAGCAACTGCCCAAGTACTGAGGATAGAAAAAAAGAAAGGGGCTAGACCTAAAGGGAATGTGTGATTCACTTAAGAGAAATGTAACACATTCTCCTTTTGATTTCCATTCCATTTTTTTAAATTTTTTTTGCATACAGACCTGAAGGAGATATTGTAATACTATGTTAAGTAGTACCAAGCTAGTCAAAGACAAGTGATTCAGAGCAGGGTATCATATGGCACATGTCTTTCTCCTCTTAAGCTCTTAAGTTCCTAGGTGGAAAGAGCCCAGTCAATGAAGGAATGCAAGTTTCATATAACTATGTAGACGTAAGAAACAAACAGTACAATCTTTCCTAAAATAAGCTCTGAAACATCCCATCACCCCTCATTCTCTCCCTGTTTCTCTGGTCACCTGACTTTTGTCTCTCCCATGCCTATACTATTAATTGTTCTTTCTCTATCAAGCATCACTTGATACACAACTTTTCCTTCTGCAGAGAATACACTTCATTCATACTGTACCCACTTTTGGGGGGGATATACCAGATAAATCGCTTTTCTTTCCCTCTTCCCCCTTTCTACATGAGCTCTACAATATCAGGATAAATCTACCCAGCTTTAGTTGCAGTGTTGGAAGTAAGAAAGCTGACATAGTAAGATGTTTTATTTTAACATGAAATACATAGTAACTTGCTAAATTATAATCCTCCCCCTGATTCTTTAGAGAAACCAAATCAATGATGAGCCTATAATGTACATAATCTAGTCTGTAAACTGCCTTGTCAGGTGGCAATGTTAGGTAATGGGGTTAAGAATGTGAGATGTGCATATTTCTGTACAAACAAGTTCATTTAAAGATATTATCTTCAAGGGAACACAGTGCCTTACAAACTGTCTAAACCATACAGTTTATACAGTTTAGACAGTTTGTAAGGCACTGTGTTCTGAATACACACATCTAGGAATACACAGAAAGAAAGAAGCAAACATAGATAGTTTGTAATATTTGTCAACCCCTCTAGACTATCAGTTCCTCGAAGGCAGGGAGCATGCCAGTCTGGTTTGTTTCATAACCCTAGCACCCTCTTCAATGCCTTGCAATCAATAGGGGCTTAGTAATTTTCCACTGGACTGAACTAAATTATCCTTGAAAGAGTAAGATGATACTGAAAAGTGTGTGGATTCAGAGTCAGAAATTCCTGGATTTGAATGCTGCCTTGTCAATTATTAGCTGTTTATAACCTCAAATAAATCTCTCATGACTTCAGTTTTCCTCTCTCTAAAAATGAAAATAACATATAATTCATATATCTATGGAGAATATTAATTGAGAAAGCTTGTGAAATTGTTTATCACATAGTAGGGGGATCAAAAATAATTGTTTTAACTTATAAGTAGCATTCTTTATGCATTTATATATGTCAGGTATTATACGTCGAAACTTCTTGGTTCAGCAGACTGTTCTTCAACTGTACATAGAGGGGAGGAATTTCAAATGCCATTGTGCATTCCTTTTCTTAATCCACACATTATTCATCCAAAAAGTGTGTTTAGTGAATCCTACCTTTATATCTATGTATTATGTACAAATATATTTCATTTAATTTTCCTACATCTCAGGTATGGCAAGACATGTCTATTTCTGGATGCTAGAATTGTTTTCTTTCCCTCAGATATGACACGCTGAGCATTGGGAAACTTTGCCTCTGGCCCTACAGACAGAGATTTTGTTACTGAAATGTCAAAAGGCCCTTGTAACATGGAAGTCTCACTCATAAGTCCTGGACCTGGAGGACAGCATTTAGTACAATGTGCTTAAAAAAGGAGGGTACTCAACTCTCAAACACAGTCCTAACAAGAGAACTAGGAGGCTGCCTCAGTCTCCTCTTCTTGCAGTTCCCCATCCTGCTCAGAGTGCACTACTATACCCATTTAAGGGACTTACAATGTTAGGAAATAATGGACACTCGTGTAGTGTTCCCATGTGTCACACTGTTCAAGGGAACATGCATGATTTAGATCAGCTTGATAGATCTCATAACAGCCCTTTGAATATCCTCATTTTATAAATGAAGAAATTGATGCAGGGAGAGTTTAAGTGATTCACCCAGGATCCTGCAACAAGCACGTGGAAGTTGGAATCTAAACCAACCAGCCTGCCTCTGAAGTCCATGCTCTTAGTTCACTAAACTATCTCTCCAAAACAGGAATTCCACAGTTACGGTAACAACAAATTAGGGATTAGATATTCTCAAAATGCAAAGTTCTACCAAATGAATGAGTATTTTACTATAGTCTTTCACTGAAACACTCTGTGGCTAACTAAGAATTGTCAACGAAGTGAGATGTAAAACTGTTACTCTTTAAACATATAAAGAAGTATATAGTCATGTGTAGCTTAACAATGAGGAAACACTCTGGGAAATGTATCACTGGGCAATTTCCTCTTTGTGCAAACATCATAGAATGTACTTACATAAACCGAGATGGCATAGCTTACTGCACACCTAGGCTCTGTGGCATGGCCTACTGCTCCTAGGCTACAAACCTGTACAGCATGTTACTTTACTGAATACTGTAGGCAATCGTAACACAATGGTAAGTATTTGTGTATCTAAACATATCTAAATATAGAAAAGGTACAGAAAAAATATGGTATAAAAGACAAAAAATGGTACATTTGTACAGGGAACCTACCATGAATGGAACTTGGAGGACTGAAGTTTCTCTGGGTGAGTCAGTGAGTGAGTGGTTGGTGAATGTGAAGGTCTAGGATATCATTATGCACCGCTGTAGACCATAAGCGTGATTCATTTAGGCTATACTACATTTATTTTTAAAATTTTCCTTTTTTCAATAACAAATGGACATTAGCTTATTATATCTTTTTTACTTTTAATTTTTTTAACTTTTTGACTCTTTTGTGATAACAGTTTAAAACACAAATACATTGTACAGCTATGCAAAAATATTTGTATTTATATCTTTATTCTATACACTTTTTCCTATTTTTAAAATTTTTTATTTTTACTTTTTACTTTTTAAACTTTTGTTAAAAACTAATACACAAATACACACATTAGTCTAGGTCTACACAGGGTCAGGATAATCAATATCACTGTCTTCCACTCCACATCTTGTCCCACTGGAAGGCTTTCACAGGCAATAACACTCATAGAGCTGTCATCTCCTATGATAACAATGCCTTCTTTCGGAACACCTCCTGAAGGACCTGCCTGAGGCCGTTTTACAGTTAACTTTTTTTTTAAAGTAGGAGTACCGTCTAAAATAACAATAAAAAGCATAGTATGGTAAATGCATAAGCCAGTAACTTGTTCACTTATTATCAAGTATTACGTAGTGTACATAATTGTATGTGCTATACTTTTATGCAACTGGCAACACAGCAGGTTTGTTTACACAAGCATCACCACAAACACATGAGTAGTATCTTGTGCTACAATATTACAATGGCTATATCATTAGGCGATAGAAATTTTTCAGCTCCATTATGATCTTATGGGACCACTGTATATGCAGTCTGTCACTGACCAAAATGTCATTATGTGGCACATGACTATATCTTAACAGCCAGTACCAAGGACTCACAACTTTATATAACCCTATGTAAATCTTCCATATTTCTCAATAAATAGTCCAAAGGAACAATGGACTGTATGACAAAACTGTTTTTCAGATATTTCTATCAAGATCGCATCTAAAATTCAAGCTTTTTGGATGCTTGGTAGAAACTATTCTGAAAATTCTTATACATATTCAGTACCATTACAATGTTTTACACTTTGATGCTCTTTTTTCTTTAATTCTTGTGGCTTTCTAAAGCACAGGGCTCCAGTGTTGTATAGTTTGAGGCTCACTAACCTCTGAAAACTGAAAATGACAAAGGTATTTCTAGAAGAGATGAAGAGTGACCAAAAAAAATTAGAATCAATAAATATTAAAATATTCACGTGGGTGATTGGGGTCATTCTTTCTTTTGATAAATATTTGTTTTACCCAGAAATATGTCTGAGGAAGATGGAAGAAAAAATGATGACACGCTGGATGCACAGGCAGAGTCACAAATCACTCAGGATACCCGAGTCAGGAGGAGAGATGCCCACCAAGCACATGGCTAAAGAAAAAGCACCCTCCCAGGGCCAGGAAGGAAGTCATCACCGCAGGCTTAGAATATTGCTCCATGGACCAAAGTGGAAGAAATAGATGTCCTTATTCATCTTCTCTCCTTTTTCAGCTTTCATTTTGATGGTAAGAGTTATGACAAATGCCTGACTTTGAAGTTAGATAGCTGCTTGAAGAAAATACAGAAAATATGTGCACTGAGAAGGATAGGGTTTCCCTGCCCTCCTGGATATTTGCCTAAATATTAACTGTCCACAGTCTCTGCTGAAATCCTAACCTACCAACAGGGGCCTTACTGACATTTGGCGAGTCCTGAAATTTTCCAATAAGAGATTAAAAGCTTCCCTTGTAGGCACTTTAAAATGGCCTCTGCAATGTCTCCTATTAGTCAGTGGCTGAATCAGATGGCAGAGTTGGGCAGTGGCCCGTTAATAAGGCCTGGATGCACTTACACAAAGGAACAGTCATGCTTTCAACCTCGAGTTTTATCAATGAACTGACTAGATTCCAGGCACTGTCCCCGCGTTGCCTAGTAAAGCAGCACTCATTGAAGGTTTAATCACAGTTTCACATCCACAATGCAAGGGGCAGAATCCTCCCTGCAAAAGGCAGTTCAACAGCACATCAAAAGACAGCACCATTGCTCTGCATTGCCCCTTATATGTTCTCTCCAGCTGGGCAAGGCAAAGAATCAGGGCTTGCTCACCTTCTGGGAAAGCCTGATGTCCACTGTCCAGAAGGCTGTGAATGCTGGAGACAAAGAGCTTGAGGTGCTCCATTCTGTGCGGTAGGAAGATACCCTGCCCCACTCCTAAGCCAACACCTGTTTGTGAACTGAAAGACAGGTATTTGTGCACTACCCTGGGGCATCCAATACAACTGCAGAAAAGACATGTAATAGTAGGCCTGGAAGCAGGGACTACATTCAGCTCTGGTTGGAGGTTCTTAATCTTCCTATAAAGCAACTCATACTCTCCCAAGTGACAAAACATTGCCATCCCCATGAGCCAGAGCACAGCTAGCTGGTTTAAGCCAGCACGATATTGATCCCTCATGCTGTTTCTCTTAATGACTATTGTGGCATTGGAAGATGAACTTCCAGTTATAAAATGCCTGTACATTTGCTTTTCAGTGCTTAGTTCTATGTTTTCACTTCTGCTTTTTATTACATTAGACTACCCTCAGGCAGTACTTGTGCTTGCACTTGAGTTCAGGTACAAAACTTTAAATTGAGCAAGGTAACAAGGGTAGTAACTGAGTCAGCACAGGCATGCATGAGAAAAAGTGGCTAACACCAGACTGAAGCAAGATCACACTGGGCTTGAATCCTAACACAATCCCCATTTTTCTCTCACCCTTTCCAGTTCCTGATTATTCTAACTTATTTTCTTCACCTTGGGTCTCTGGTGAAGTGGTGAGATGGAGAAAGTTCTTGGAACAGCATTGGAAATCTTGTCTATAATTGTTGACCATGGAGCATCAAGTGTCCTTTCAAGACCCAAAGAAGCAATGAAGAACTTGAAGCCAGACACAATACAATCCTGCACTCCAGCAAGTTTCTTCTAGCTTATGCAAAGCACTGTGTCAGCCTCTCTGAGTGTGGTATCCACAGGCTAGACAGTCTTGATTCCAAACAGGAATCCATTTCTCAAGACCACTTGTCAGACCACGCATTGAACAATAGGTTCCAAGTTTAGCTTTGGAAACAGAATCTCCATAATTTGTGGAGTAAATAAGTATTAAAAATGCAGTTTAAGTATTCATTTTTGCTTGTAATTCCTAAAAGGTACTTCTTCTGGCAATAGCAATTTAAAAATCTCTTAGAAAATCAAGAGTTATGAGTCCTGAAATATAAAATAGCCAAATTAATCCATAATAGATGAAGTTGCATAAATGTCATGTAAAAATGTTAGTCAACTTAATGCTAAAAAATGTATTAACTATAAAAAAGAACTTACCCATGGTACATTTTTAAATGAAGTATTAGCTCCCAGGTACTTGGAATAGTCTAGGAATACATGGTGAAGTTTAATTTAATATTAAGGCTAATTGGAGTTCAAAATAAATTATAGATGAGGTAATATTTAATATTTTCAAAGAATTACAAGAGAATATGCTTAACATTCCAAATTTTATACTGAGCATATAACAGTCAATGAGTAAGAAAATCTTGGGGTCACCACTGTATTTCTTGCAGATTTAGCCATTTACATAGACAAGAAAACTGGGAACCAAAGGACACAGCCTGTGATTAGGCACCATCAGACCATCTGAACGCAAAGTCTGGATCATGAGCCTTCATACAGAAGTTTTGGGTCCACAGATTCCTGCATATTCAAATGTTAGGATGCAGTAGAACAAATATCCAGCGGAGAGAATAATTTCCACCTGCCAGCCCTACTTCTTAACTTATGATATTTTAATTCTGTAGGTCTAGATTAAGTAGCATTATCTCAGTGACTCTTTAAAAAGAAAAAAACAGCCAAGCGCAGTGGCTCACGCCTGTAATCTCAGCACTTTGGGAGATGGAGACAGGTGGCTCACCTGATGTCAGGAGTTCAAGACTGGCTTAACCAAAATGGTAAAACCCCATCTCTGTTAAAAGTACAAAAAAATTTAGCCAGGCATGGTGGCGGGTGCCTGTAATCCCAGCTACTCGGGAGGCTGAGGCAGGAGAATCCCTTGAAGCCAGGAGGTGGACGTTGCAGGGAGCCGAGATTGCACCATTGCACTCCGGCCTGGGCAACAAGAGCGAAACTCCGTCTCAAAAAAAAAGAAAAAGAAAAAAAACAAACTCTTGTCTTCTTGGTCACCATATTCACCATGTTCATTACACTGATGGTTGTTCAACTGGCTCTCTCACTGCACTGCTTTCATAATCCATGATCAAGATGAAGCCACTGTAACCTGTTAAGATTGCTATAAAGCATCAGTTTGCTTTAACAAAAATATGACTGCTTTCCTTTTCTGGAGTTGCTGAGGTTTTCTTCATAATTGCTTATACAACCTAAGACTATACTTTGAAATCTATAAGGCTGAAGATTCTCTTCATCCACGGGACCCTGGGAGATAGCAAAAATTACAAGGAGATTGACCACATGCCCTGGGTGGTAACTTGTTGTTTCAGGATCCCATTCATGTTCCCTTTCTATCACTCTCAAAATGATCCCAGTTTTAACAATAAATTATCTGCTTTGTGCCCCATTATGACAATGGCAGGTTACCCACCTACTTAGACACCTTCATATAGGGCCTACTTGTAGATGTGAATCTCCCCATACTCCCAGATTGTAGGGGTCCAGAACCACTTGGGGACTCTGGAACATTCACTTATAAGACAAATACAAATGTAACTACAAATGTCTGCTTCTTTGGCCTACTGTTCTGGTCCCTGGCTGACCCACAGATGGGAAACAACAACTTTTACACTGGGTGAGGTTTTGTTCATGCTTCTGGACAGGTAAGTGGACTATAAAAATGATTTTTTCAGGGATTGGTAAGTGGATTTGTAAATAGGAGTTTCAAGATTTTCCATATTACTGTCTACCACTAGATATATGTGTCTCTCAGAAAGAACTATGGAAGAGTTATACAAACATGTCTCTTATGTATATGACATGTATATAAATAAATACATGTCGATATATATGTGTACAAAGCCATATTTAGAAAAAAATTCAATAAAAAATAAAGCAAATAATAAGGTTGTCATGTGACAACTGTGTAAGAAAATGTCAACATATAACCACAAGAAAGTAAAGGTATTTTGCCTTTGAATTTTAGAATGGAAGAGATTTTAGCTCTCACCTATTACATTCTCTGCCAAATGTAGCCCAAAATGATGAGAGAAAAGGATACCAATGAGGGATATAAAATAACATTTATGCAAACAGTTAAAAGGCAGAATAAAAATAAACAATAACAACTACTCTCTACCATCAGTGTCAAGAAAAAGAAATACCCTCAATGAGTATCTTTACAGACTGTCCAGTGGAGCCCATGAACATGGACCAGTGCCCACTTCCTGCTCACTTCTCTCGCTTCTCTCTGCTTCAACCAGAGCAGTTACAACTGTATCTGGTTTATAGGTGAAGGTTCTCAGTAATATTTTGTTTGAAATAATTTTTTGTTGAAAACCAGAAACTAGATGACTTCACTGAGCCCAATAACCAATCTTCAAAAGTTTTTCCCCAAATTAGGTTCTTCTTTAGTTCTGGTAGGCTAAAAATTATAAACACAGGGCCATTATTGATGGGCAAAATAGGATTTTCTCTGTTTCTAAGGATGATTAGACTGAAGACCAAATCAATCCTCTCTTGGTAAAGTTTTTGATTTGTCTTTTGGGGTGTTTCTTTCTCTCCTTTGTAATTAAGAAGAATCTGTCTCCAGTCTCGAGTTTGATGTACACCACGGGGAAAAGAAATATTGACAGTTGCTACAGAGGGTTCTTCTTGCTACTGCTTCAAAGGCAGCCAAATGGATTTACAGACACCAGCCAAGGCAAGAGGAACAAGAAGGGATTAATCAAGCCAAGTTAATGTCAGGTGATTTAAGAAAAAGAAAAATCCTCTTAAATATTTTATTTTAACAGAATTATACTTCACCAGCATTTTCTGAAAGAAGCAAATCCATCCTTTAGCATTCAGGCTATGGAAAAGGGGACAACAGATATGCAAAATGTAGAGTAAAGAGGAGCAGCCCCATGGTACAGGTCTCCAGAGGAAAAATTGATTGAACATTCTAATTAAAAACAAACTTAAAACATTAACCTTCTTGAAAACATCCAAGGCCCCACCTGAGAGTTCTCAGACTTACACTGTCTCCTCCCCAGCCCTACACATGCACACACACACACACTCATACAGACACACACAAGTGTGAGCAAAGGACTCAATCCATCGGAATGCAGATCACACCATGGAAGCTATTGTTCTGTCAAAAAAACAAAACAAAACAAAATGAGAGAGATACATTCATTAATGCTGCAGCAGATGGCTGCTCTGCAGAAGGACACAGCATGAGGCAGGCTGCCGGCTGGCAGCCACAACTCAGGCAGCATTCACTCCAGCTGTAAGTTCAGGTTCCTTTCAGAAGCTCTGCATTCCACTGGCACTTTGCAGGAAATCCCTTGGGCTTAATGGATAGCTTTAGGCGCAGTCCATTGGCAATCAGGACTGAATCCCTTGTCATTTCCCTAGGTCTTCTCTCCCACCCACTCTACTTGCACCATTGACATTGTTTGGCAAAGGTTAGGCTCCAGTCAAAAGAGCATTAGTGTGGGGTCCTTGAACACTAGCCTGGGTTTGCACAGGGCTCTTTCCCCAGTCTCTTATCCTTAGCATATTCCTTGTCCTGCACAGCACAAAGAAGCAAACTGGTTAACACTTCTTTCAAGGAAGCCAGAAATTTAAAAGAAAGAAAAATTAGATCATGCCTTCAACTTGCAGAAATGTTTTCTTTTACTTTTACTTCTGTTATTATTGTGTTTTCTTGGAGTATATTAACATCTCATATTGTATCTTATACATACTCCTAATTTTCCCCACATCACTCAATTCTACTAAACAACTAAATCTCATTTTGTTTCTTTTTCTTGGCAAGACAAAATCACACTGCTGAATTTCTATTAAGTCAGATTTGTTCTTTCCATCTCCAAGACAGTTTTATGTTTAGACCATTATCAAGACACATAACTAAGTTTTTCGACCTCAAACAGCAGAAAACTCTTTACTCCTTCTAGTATGATTTTGGTTTTTTTGTTGTTTTTCTTCCTGTAAAAGCACAGATTAAGCCCTTCCTTTTTTGAATTTCATCCACAAATCTTTAGACTTTTCCAGCCTTTCTCCAAAGCTCCCTCAGTACATTCTGGAAGGATTCTGGGCTCTGTGCAAACCCTACAATACATCTTTTTCATAGATTGCATTCATGCTATCAAGATAAATTATATGAAAACTTATGAAGAGAAATGTTCCCATTCGAGCCTAAGAATAGAACATCTAGACATAAGTGAATAGTAAAGTAATTCATTCAGTTGTACATGTCTGTGATTTTATTTTAGTTTAGACATATTTAAGAATGTATTATTTGACTATATGTTAAATAATATGAAAAAAATTTATTTCCATTTCTTAGAAATGACTTAGACTATTTTAAAGGCCCTTATTTATCAACATTGATGTCTCAACACCTGCTTTCTTCTGTGCCTTAACTGTAATTTAAGGAATTATAATTCCAACACTGCACATTTTCAAATTAAATGTTTTAATCATGTTTACTGTTAATGTTCAATACTCATTTAAATTGTAAACGTTATTTCAGATGGTTTCTCTATATCTATCATCTTAATTTTATAATGGAAATCATCTATTTTACTTTAATCTGTGGCTATGTGTGCCAAGAATGTTTGAAGTAAGTCAATAGCCAGAGCCATTGTCATTCACATCCATCTTTTGAGTCACTCTACTGAAGAGTGATGCCCCTTGAAGGCACAGATTTATATATGCCAAGGATCTTCCATGGCAGCTGGTACAGAGTACTCAATAAATGATGCTCAATAAGTGCTTATCAAACAAAATCAGCAAAATCAAAATCACTAGTCCTTAATGTTAAGAACTGGGAGAGGCAGCAGAACACAGTAACAGAGAACTGTGTCTCTGGAGTCCAGCCAGTCATGGTTCAAGCCTCAGGATGATAGTAGTATGCATTCTGGGATATTATTTAACTTCCACAAGCATCCAAAATCTAGAAGTCAGTAGAGTCTACAATAAATGCCATTTCAGGCATGCCCTTGCTAGATGTATGGGCCCCCAATCATCTTATTGCCACTTAGAGTCAAACTCGTTGCTAGGAAAGAATGTGAAAGATCTTGAGGAATATATCTCTACCAGCTTATTAAAGAAAATGAATAATCCACGGCCAGAAACAACACCCCAAAGAACAAGATTGGGTATGGGGCAAGAAAATGGGTAGCATAGAATCAAGCCCCAAATGAAGGGCTGTGAACGGAGACTGCAACACAGAGTAAAAAGCTACATACACCAAAAGAGCTACTCAAAAGAGGTAAGACTTTGCCCAGAGTGGGTGGGGGACGATTCTAGACCTGCAGATGGAGAAACACTTCACTCTGCACAACACCTGAGAGGATACATTATCAAGTGCGTAGACCACCCCCCAACCCAGTTATCCCCGAGACAGAGAGTAAAGATGACCAAACGTAAATCCTCTGTGGCTCTTCAGGTGGTGCACCAACTTCCTGGTCCCATGCCACACACACTACCCTTTGCAAATCACTCAGTAGAAACCTACAGTGATAGGTTATGAACCAAAAACTTCACTGACACAGGTGAACAAGTAACATATTCAAACTGTGTCCAACCTGAAGGCGATAATTACATGATGAAAATGATCATAGTAAACAGTCAGTTCCAGGAATGGTGTTAAAGGATGGAGGCTTTTTTTCTGAGCCGTGGACTGCTGGAAAGGGTCACAAGGGCGTCTCACATAAATCACACCTTGGCAGAAGGTTTACCAACCTAACAAAGAGGCTTTAAATTCAAATTTTTGGAAAGAGGGGAAATAACTACTCGAAAAAAATAATAAAGTGCTTGTCAAATTGGATATGATGGAAGACAGCAGGTGTGCCAAGAGAGGAATAAACAATAACTTGTAATGGTTATCATTTGTATTATTATTCCTAATAATTTCAAGAAGAAAATACTGGAGAAGCATGTTAAGACTAATGAACTAACATTGTCAGCATCAGAAGCACAACGTATTACAGCTCTACTATCAACTCTGAACTGGCATTTCTTCTTACTAACTTCCAGGTTTTGGATGCTTGGTGAAGTTAAGGAACATCCCAGAGTATAAGACTTTGAAAAACCACTCAATCTTTCCATGCCTCAGGACACATATCTGCAAAAATTGGATAAATACTGTATCATCTCAGAGGGTTGTTTCAGAATTCAGTGGGTAAATACACAAAAAGCATTATGAATAGCACCCCGCTTGGGGCATAAAATGGCCTTCATGATCCAGCTCCTGTTAACCCTTCTGATTTTATCCACCAAATGTCTTTGAAACTCTGTCCTTCCTCTTTTGTACTAAGTTCCCCTTCCATGTACTGCTTCCCTGCTTGGAATATCTTTTGCTGTCTTAGTCCCCGAGAAACTCTGATCCTTCAAGATTAAGCTTGAGTATTATCTCTTGCGTGAAGTACTCTTCAACCCTTACCAGGAAGTTGCTTGTTCTCTCCCTTGAGTTTGCTTAACGAATCCCTTCTCAATAGTCATTTCCACTATAGCACACATCAGCCTATATTATAATTGCTCATTCACACATGAATGGGAACTCTTTCAGGGCAGGCAGTTATCAATTGTATTATTTGTATCATTTGTCTCTTCTTTACAGCAGCCAGAGCTCTTTATTTGATACTTGTATCCCCAATGTCAAATGCAAAACTTGATATGTGATAGATTCTGGACAATGTTTGCTACATAAATGAATAAGGGCTATGATGACAAGTCTAGACCCTCCACCAGAACCAGAATGCTCTTAAACTCAAGCACCAGAAGAAAAGTAGATAATTGGGAATCAAATCAGAGAGAAAATAACCAATCCTTCCCCAAATTATATGAACGTGAGTTAGAGAGCAAGGGACTTGACCTCAGAGTAAAGTAAAGGAGTAGGTACTCTTTACTCAGTATCAAGATATGGTAGCTTAAATAATTTTTCAGTACCAGTTCAAATCCAAAGAAATTAGAATTCATAGGTCTTAAGTACTGTAAAAAAAATGAAGTGGTATTGCTTTTTCACCCCAACCTCCATGCACTTAGTCTTGCTACTTAACACAGTTAAGATTTGTCTTGGTTAAAGCCCTGTCATTTATGAACATTTTCCTGGGTTTTCCCTAAACCATTGGCCACACTTTTTCAGATTCCTTGAATGTCATTTGTTTCATAATGAAAAGAAATTTGAAACATGAATTAAATCTAGTAATACACAAAATGTTTTTGTATTAGCTACAGATAGCTCCTTCTTAATCTCTTTGCTGGTTCCTCGTCTTGAGCTCTTAATATAGGAGTGACCAAGCACTCAGTCCTTGGTCCTCTTCTTCCTTCATCTATACTCAATTCCTTGGAGATTTCATCCAGTAACATGGCTTTAAATATCAACTATACAATGACTCTCAAAGTGTATGCTTGGCAATACCTCTCTCAGGCTCCAGACTCCTATACTCAATTGCCTACTCAACAACTTGACATGAATACATACTATACATTCCAAATACAACACTGAACTGCTGGTCCTCCCCCACACCTGCTCACTGCACCCTCCCTATCATAATTGATGACAAACCTTTAACACTTCTTGTCTCATACTTTACACCCAATCAGTACAGAAATCCTGATGGCTCTAACTTCAAAATATGCAGAATCCTACCACCTTTTATTATTGACACTGTTGCCATTCTCTTGCATCTAGATGTTACATTCTAAGTGATCTCTCTAATTCTGTTCTTGCCCACTTATGACTGTCTCTTCTTTACAGCAGCCAGAGAGCTGTTATAAATCAGATTACACTTCTTCTCTGCTAAAAAATCCCCCAAATGACTCATTGTGCTAGGAGTAAAACCCAAAGTCTTTACAATGGTTTGCGGGGCCCTTCTCCAATTACCAGTCCTCCTTTCATCTCTAGAATCTCATTTCTCACTGTCCTCCCAGTACTTTCCAGCCTTCCTGGGCTCCTGCTATTTTCTGGACATCCAAGACACCTCTGGGCTCAGGCATTTGCATTTCTGGTTCCTTCTGTCTGGGAAGCTCTTCCCCAGATATCTAACTAGCTTGTTCCCTCATGTCCTTCCAGTCTTTACTCAAAAGTCACCTTCTCAACAAGGACTTCCCTGACCATCTCATCTAAAATTTCATTACCCTTTCCATACTTTATATTACCCTTCCAATTCAAATTCTTCTCCTTAGCCATTACCATACCATATATTTTACATACATACCTTATTATTGTCTATCTTCCCCCAAATGGATGTAAGCTCCATGAAAACAGATTTTTGTCTACTTTGTTCACTGTTTTCTCAAAACCTAAAAATGTGCTTGGCACAGAGCAGGCACTCAGTAAACACCTGTTAAATGAATGCATGAACCAGTAAAATTAACAGCTTTCCATGTTGAAAATGGACTGCTTTTTGAAAATAAAAACAAATGACAGTGTTCCATAACTTCTAAAAACGTCTGCAATAGTTAAAATTCAGTATCAGGTGGGGTGGCCTAAATAATCTTAGTGTGCAAAAAGGTCAATGTTTTTCTACAGAAATTCATCCCTTCTTTGGTACTGTATCAAAGTTCACACTTCTTTGGTAATGTAAAAAAGCACAGAGTTTTCAATTAGCCACTAATGGCTTTCCTCTAGGTCAAACCACTTAAGAGTTTACATGTAGGTTGTCATCTCAAAGAGAGATATATTAGATGGTCTCTCAAACTTATGACAGCTTAAAATTGGAAAGTAATAGTGAACTGAAGAACACTGGACTAAATGTCATAGGATCTGAATTCTTACCCAAGCTCCAGCCCTTAGGACCTCTGTGAGCAGATGCATCAATCTCTCAAAACTTCAGCTGACTCTTATTTGAACTAAGAAGCACAAAATCAGCCATTATTTTTTATCTTAGAATTGTTGTGAGAATTATATTTGATTGGCAATTTGCAGATTGCTTTCATAATCAGTTTATTTATATGGATGTCATTGTTATTAAGATAATAATTTTTAAATCCATATTTTTGGGAGTAGGTGCAAACCCATTTAGACTACTCTTCTCCTACTCAAACCTCAACCTTTTCCAAAAAAAAAGTATCTGGAAACAGGTCAGGACTTGGAAGCTAGGTGTGAAGAGAAGGGAGGAAAATGAGTGCCACAGGGAAAACAATCCAGTTCATTTTCCTTTTATTCTTGCACTAAGGTCTGGTCAGGAAAATGGAGCACAAAGAAAGAGAGTTTCTGTTCTTCAGTTCTAAGACAACAACATAAACTGCAATTACTTTCAAAACTCTCTGCAGCTTACGGAAAATGCTCATGATTTTAACAACTCTCATATTCTCTTAGGACCCTGGTCTCTCTCTTTTGATGTTTTGGTCTTAAGATCTTCCGAGACCCATCTCTAAAAGTTCACTCTGGGGGACCATAATATTGAGCAACTTACACTTTTTCCAAAATTAAAAATGGTCCTACAAAGTGAAAGCAAAAGCTTGTTACTATGCAGAAGAAAAGGGTTTCCCTTCAATCCTGCTGTGAAGACACATGGCAACTCCAGGAAGCATGGCATCAGTGGGGAAAAGACAGCAGAGTCTCATTAAACCTGCAATACTGAAAGCATGTCTTTACTTGCAGGTCTAAAAACTAGAGAATCGGGAAAAGAATGCTGCTACTAACTTTTAAGCAGTGATCATTTTAAACTCTTGCAACTCTCTCTAAAATAGTCATCATGAGCACTTAACTTTTATTTTTTCAGAAAAGCTATGAGGAGTATTATATACCCATAATATGAGTTACTCTTCCTAAATAACAATCTACTCATCTGTAAAATGGGATAGTGACTACTGCCCACCTTGCAGGATGGGGATTAAGCCATACAATGCATGTAGCAAGTACTGAATAAATAGTAGTAAATTTGTGACTATATGTGGAAAACAAATAACTTAAGGAAAAACATACCCTTTGCTGCAACAGATCTTTCCAAATAGTGCCAACTTCATCTCTAAGTGACTTAAGAAGAGTCAGTAGTGCAACTCAACTGAGACTGAGCAGCATTAGAGGAGGACTGGGCAATTGCCAGATGACCCACGGATGGGGACAGCACTGGCCCTCGGAGCCCCACAGCTTTTCCAAATGCCCTGCCAAGAGGGATCTTCCTCAGCCATTACCATACCATATATATTTATATATGTAACTTATTATCATCTGTCTTCCCCCAAATGGATGCAAGCTCCATGAATGCAGATTTTTGTCTACTTTGTTCACTGTTGTTTCCCCCAAACCCAAAAATGTGTTTGGCACAGAGCAGGCACTCAGTTAATACCTGTTAAACAAATGCCCTCTGCCCCCTAAGCCTGCTGTACCTTGTCAAAGACAGATCCAGACCATTTGGGAACACAGTAAAAGCACTCAGATTTAGACAACAAAACTGAAACTAAAAGAAGAATGGCTTCATACTGAAATAAGAATCACATCTCAAAAACTGCTTACAAATTACTCCTTAAAACTGGAATCCTGTAAAGTTTAGTTAAATTTCTCTTGTTTATATGCAGGCATTCTCTCTCTAGAACAGATGCATCCATAGGGATGGTAGTAAAGTAAGTTGAAACAAATCAACTAATACGTATCATGTGTTTGCATTTAGAATATATTCTGTGTGTGTGTGTGTGTGTGTGTGTGTGTGTATGTGTATGTGTGTGTTTTGGGAGAGGGGGATCTCAAAAAACAAACTTGAAAGCTTTTCTGAGAAAATAAAAACAAAAATAATAACTAGCATTTCAATACTCAGTATTTTTTCAATATATTTTGAACTTTTAAGCTATTCATAGCATTTTTCAATTGCAGCATGGCTCTGAATTTCTGAGCCTAACAACCAAATTTATACTATGTTTGGCAACAAAGTGGGATATTTTGACCTCACAAGGTTGATCTCTGAGATGATTCTTCCCTTCCCTACACACAGACAGTTTATCTTTTCTTTGCTAATGGTTTTTGAACTGCCAGTGATGTATACAGATAGCATATAGTAAGCAAACTGATAGCAAACAGACACAAGAACAGGACTAAGTTCAATTATAGAAATAATTCTCCATAATTGTTCAAGTTTTATATTTGAATAGCAACCACAAATATAGGACAACAAGAGTATCAAATATAATTACAGAAAATTATCATATCATGGCCACTTATTCTGCTTTTCAAAAATAAATGACAATGAAACCATCAATTTTTAGTGCTTTTTTTCACACTTGCAAAGCTAGACTTCACATTCCCCATGAAAAGATCAGATCTATGGATGGTGAAGAAACATTCTCATGGAAGTGTTGTTGCCAGAGTTCCTGCTGCCATGACTGATACTTACAAAGTTTGAACACTCTTTAATTCATATATGTGTTTATCAGAGCACATAAGAGTAGGCAAAAGAAAAACAACTAAAGCCAGATGTAATGATAAAAAGTGATGTAAAGCTTTAGGAATCTCTTCTAGCTCCAGCAAAATCAATGGTTTTAAACTGAGGTTCAAGAACATTTTCAGACCTACAAATATGGGAAACTTTTATTTGGTTTGGATCTGGCCAGTAGTCCTCATGTTCACTTCAACAATCACATGAAAAGACCTCCTTCATAAAATATTTCAAATAGAGCCAACTCTTTTAGCAAGGATTTAGTAAATTTCCATTGAAAGATAATTTTAATTATTTCTGACCTCCTACTGATGTATTCTTAAAGCCATAAGAACTTTACACAAAATTTCACAATGGTATCAATGTCCATCACTTCAACAAGAGGCATTAAAACAACTGTTCAATTTCTCCTGACATTAAATTTGTTAGTTTTTTTCAATTCAGTGAAAGTTGGAGCAGAAAATGTTAACAGCACATCTGATAACACGTATTTTGCTCATGCAAAGGAGATGATTGTGTCACCTGCCTAAATTCCGACTTATAAGCTAGGGCTTCATTGGAGACCTTAGCAGTTAATATACTAGAAAAATTATAATAACACTTAAATTGATTCAGGAAATGTGTTTTGGTTACCTCCACAGGTCTGGTCAATCAGCAGTAATGAACTACCAAACAATTCGGTTAGAGATACACATGTCACGTTCAAATGGAATTTGAAATAGAGCACTCCTCTGTATTTTAGAAATCCATTAACAGGATCGGCAAGACCCAATCCAAAATGGATCGATAACAAGATCGGTACATTTGACAGGAAAAAATTGTCTCAGAGGCACTTGACTATTGACTGTGTTAGAACTGAAAGAATTGAGATTGGCATGGTATATTGACAAAGGATAAACTGTGAACTAAGAGAAATTGATCATAATTGTCTCAGGGCTTGGGTAAGAAATAAATAAAAACTACAGGCTGTTAATTCATTTCTAAACAAATGCATTACTTGTAACAATAAGTAAGATAAAATAAAGTTCATAATAGCTAAAACGTCAAATGTGATTTTGCTAACAACAATGATAATTACAACACCAATTTTAGAAAACTAGATTTAGTAGAAATAACACAAAATTGGCAGTGGCTAACCACTGATAGAAGAATTAAATCTTCCTCGTAAAATTTCAGTCATGCCAATATTTGACCAAGAAGTCTGGACTTCATGAAACAGCAATTTCAATAACAGAAGCTATAATCGTTAACATTTTAATTCATGCCAGAAAGTTGAATAATATGTTAAATTATTGTTTTAAAAGCTATACAAAATGTAAGCCATCCAATGAAATTAATCCCATTAAACTAAGATGGACATAAAAAGTGAAATTTAGCTGTTCTGTATAGAATGGAGGTTAATTCTAGAAAAGACTAGACTAACCAGTGTTAATTAAGTTTTAAAAATTTAAATTTATGAACAGAAAGTCATGAACATTCTCAGGGTCAAAACATTCTATAACGAAGTGATGTTGATCTCTTGACTACATATTCAAAAAACTCTTCTCCCCCTTTCCTGGATATTTACAATATCTAAGCTCTCAGTGTCTATGTAATTCATATTCTGTAACAACAATAGAATTAGGTCAGAATCCCAGAACAAGAGCATGGGCCTTGGTGTCAGTGAGACTCGAATTCAAGCCCACTCTACCACCAGCTGCATCATCTTAAACAAGTGACTGAGGTTCTGCTGGGTAAGTACCAATGTCTGTAAAAAGATGTGATACTGCAAAGTGTTGTTGAGAGTATTAAATGATAATTTTGATAAAATACATGTCATTGACCTTTCTGACACTTTACTCTCCTCCATGACAATGATGCTTAAGATCTTGAGAAAAAGGTCTTCCTGGCACACAGATGTATTCAAATATAAGGTTACTATTAACCTAATGATGATACAATGAAGAAGAATATCTGCTTAGATAACTCCAGGGTGATCAACAACAACTACTGAGTCATGCTAATTTTATCCAGGTTTTCCATATGTGGATGGGGAATCCCACATCGGGGATTGGGGGAGCAGGACTGTTTTCTTTCGGAAAAGCTTCAAGTAAACAAGAAACACTATTAAATATAAATGGTGTTTAAATATAGGCTCAAATTTTTAGTGATACTTGAACAATTCACCCCATGGAATGAATTTGTTTCTTAACTGAAAACTAATCTATTGCAATATTAGTAACCAAATCAATAATCTCCAAAGGCAAATATAATATTGTATAAAAGAAAAGAATGAAATCCACTGGCTTAAAGGTAAGTAGGCATGTCACAACTAGGTAAGATGTCCCTGACACCTCTATGATTCCTGGTTTACTTGAAGGGTCATTGTTGTAGTATTTGCTATTGGTTTTGCTATTGTTACTGAATGGCTTTGGCTTCATAGTTTCATCAAAGATGTGACCCCTATTCAGTAAGCCTGTCTATCTTGATCATAGAACTGAATAGTAAAGATAGAGCTTTACCATGAATGTACACAATGTGGAAGGACTCATTTCCTTCTAAAAACTTTTAAATACCAGAAACTCTTTCCAATATGTTTTCTCATCTAACCCAAAAAAACTAAAAATAATTGATTCTAAATACAGGTTTTTCTCAAGAGGTACAAGAGCTTTCATTTTGCTTTAAGAAACACTTTCTTTAATATGGAATCTATAAATCAGAAAAATATGTTTAAATTCTTAAACCCAAATGTAAACAGCATAGCCAACATGGGGACACCAAGTCTTAAAATAACGAAGAAGGAGATAAACCATGACCAGGGATCAAATTTGACATGCAGCCTTCAGGTAACAGTGAGCATCATATAAATATAAATGCAAGTTGCCATTTTGTATTTTGAAGAGAAGTTTTCAGATGTGTGAAATAATCTAAAAAACCACATCTTTGGGCCAGGCATGGTAGCTCATACCTGTAATCCTAACATTTTGAGAGGCCCAGGTGGGTGGATCACTTGAGTCCAGGAGTTTGAGGCTAGCCTTGGCAACATGGCAAAACTCCATCTCTACAAAAAATACTAAAATTATATGGGTGTGGCGGCATGTGCTTGTAGTCCCAGCTACTCGTGTGGCTGAGGTGGGAGGTTCACCTGAGCCTGGGAGGTGGAGGCTGCAGGGAGCTGTGATTATGCCACTGTACTACAGCCTGGGTGACAGAGTAAGACCCTGTCACACACACACACACAAAAAAAAAGAAAGGAGAAAAAAAAGCACATCTTCTCCATTCATTTATCTGTTGCGGAACACAGGTTGATTCCATGTCTTGGTTATTGTGAATAATCTTGTAATGAACATGGGGGTACAGATATCTCTTTGAGATACTGATTTATTTTTCTTTGGATATACAACCAGATGTGGGATTGCTGGATCACATGGTAGTTCTATTTTTATACGTCAGTTATGCTTCAATAATGCTGAATAAATAGATAAATAAATGAATAAATAAGCAAGAACAAATGCAGCACGTACAGACAGTCCTAGTATAGATTAAATGTCCCAGATGACCCTCAGTAATGAAAGAAAACTCCATCCTCCATCAGCACTTCAACAAAAAGTACCTATGGCTATCCCCCAACAGTGAATAGAAGACTCGTGCTTGTTTTGTTGTTTTTGATCCCTCTAGGTATTAAACAAACAGATATATAATGAATCAAAAGCAATCAGCACAGAAAGAGCTATTGACCCTTATGTATTTCTCTCCCTCTAAGATACTCATTTTGAAATGAAAAATGGTTTTCTTGCATAGTGCCTCCATGTACTTGGTTATATTGCCATGGCTAATTGACAGCAGGGTCTCTCTAATCAGCAAGGTAAAGGCTGCCTTAAAAGAGCACCCACTGTGTGCTCCTAGACTGGCATGAAGACAACTGAAGTCATGCACATTCATTTGCCCATTCTACCTTCCATGCTGTGCTGGGCCACAGGGCTATAGGACCTGAGGAAAAGTGTGTGAGGACCCTCCACCGCTCTGACCCCACCAGGCAACAAGGATGCAATGACCTGTCCCCACTCCACTTGCTTGGTCCTACCTCTCTGGGCTAATTTAAAAGGAGAACTCTCCTAATTTAACAAAAGAAAGTAAGTGAAAAAAAAAGCATAACCTTTCACTTCTTTAAAAAACCATCTCCTCCCTATTTTTCTCTTCCATCAACTCCACAGTAAGATGTCCTTGTTATATTTCCGGGTTTATTCCCTTTAGGTCCTTTTTAACTGGTACTTTTCAGGAAACTATTAGGACAAAAGTATTACTTGGATTCCAACTGACTCTGAAATTTTTTAGTAACCTTCAGTGTCAGAAAATTTCAAAGATGTATTGAGGGTTACAGAAGATCAAGATCCAGAATGGCCACAGAATCTTAGCATACCTTAACTTGCTGTTTAAACATAAAAGTATCAGAGGAAGGGCAAGAACCCGAGGAAAATAAATAAATGCAAAACTCACATGCAGTCCCTGGCTGGGGTGAAGTCAGACTCAGATCTGTCTGGGAAATAGAGCTAAGCGCTGCTTTTTCTCAAAATGACACATTTGCATCTACTGATATTCATTAGGGTTGAAAGGCCTTGGTGGGGTAGTGGAAACATTTGAATCATGTCTCTGCTCAGAATTCAAGTATAGCTTGGGTAAGACAGTGAGACCCTGTCTCTACAAAATAATACCAACAAATTTTAAAAATTAGCCAGTTGTGGTGATGCGTGCCTGTAGTCACAGCTACTTGGGAGGAAGAAGCAGGAAGATCATTTGAGCTCAAGATTTTGAGCCATGATCACGCCACTGCATGCCAGCCTGGGTGACATAGCAGGAGGCTGTCTCCGGAAAAAAAAAAAAAAAAAGAACAAGAATTCAAGCACATACAGGCATATCTGGTAGAACTTCGGAAGTAAAAGGAATGGACACTGGATTCAGGGAGGACAGAGGGGACTGCCTGTAAAACAAAATTATTTTTAGGAGCAGAAGTTGTCTAACACAGCAAGCCAGGGGCCTGAGGGCGGGGGAGGGGGATAGCATTCAGTAAGCTGGCACTTAAATCTATTCAGACAAAGCTACCTTGTGATGTGCGTATATCCCAGGCAGGCAAAGAACTAAGTATGACCTGGCAAAGCCATCCCACTCAACTCTGCCATAGTTTGGACCCAAGAACCCTTGTTCTGGGCCCTTCACCACTGAGAATTACCAAAAAGGAAGAAAACATCTTCCTTCCCACTTCCCAAGAGATGGCCAAGCTGTCAGGAGCAGGCTGAAGCTTCTCAGGAGCCTTAGTGACTCAGCAGGAATCCGCCCCTCCTGCTGGCAAAATGCCAATCAGGGGGGCAGGTGGGCTGGGGGCAGTGAGCCCTGCAGAGAATGCATGAGGAGGCAGCACAGGGGGTTCCTGACTGGCTTGTGAGGTGTGTGAGGCAACTCCTGAAAGTTTGCCAGAAGAGATAAGCTTCTGTTGGAACAAATCAAGGTTTCGAATAGTGAGTTTAGTTATTAATGTCAATATGATCCAGTATGGCAGTATTAACCAAAATCATAAGAGTGACTTTTTTTTGGTCCTATGAAACTTATCCAGTTTAATTTTAGTGATATTTACTTATATGTTACATTTCTCAGATGACTTAGACTGACAGATCAGTAACTAGCACTTAGCAGAGATAAAAACACTTGGGATTTCAACAAATCATCTCCTCTATATTACCCCAGAGCCCCCCAAAATAGTAAAGAGACAGAGAAGTCAAGAAACACGTAAGTTTATTTTTTAGACCTGTTGCCTAAGGCCTGATTTCAGCAGGCTTGTATTTAGTTTTGATGTCATTTTATGCCATAGATGATTGAACTAGTCTCTAAATATGGTGCCATGACCCACAGAGAGAAATTATGCCCTGAAGTATGGTGTGTGGTGGCATAAGGGGAAGGAGGTACACATTGGAAGAGAGTATGACCTAACTCTTCTCTTCTAATCAGATCATCAGGCACTGGAGGGTGAAGACAAGTAGAGGGTGTAACATGGATGTGATGTTTGGCCTGAAATTCGCAGGGAATTATCCTAAATTTGAGTTCATTCTGAGTTCGAACAGCTCAAAATGGAGAATTTAGACATTGGGACCTTGTGTTTTTGCCCAGTGTACTCATAATCTCTAAGGATAAAAGCAGCAGTATTTTTCCAACATAAATCCAATCATTATAATTCTTCTACGTTTTGTTTTTACATCATAGATGTTGAGACACTGGGAGAATTTTTTAGCTCTTCTGAGCTAAAGGCCTGCTGGGTACAGTATTTCTTGATTTATTATCTGTTTATTCAAATAAAAAACCCTGGGGAGAAAAGAACTCTTTTCCT
This sequence comes from Homo sapiens, assembly GCF_000001405.40. Lineage (NCBI taxonomy): Eukaryota > Metazoa > Chordata > Mammalia > Primates > Hominidae > Homo > Homo sapiens. Next base: position 117,937,518 of record NC_000006.12, on the reverse strand, counting down.
TAAATAAGTGTTTGATTGCTATGCCTTAATTTGGGCAGGAGTTTTTTAGTGGTTGATAATGACAGTAAATTTAGCATTAATTTGTTTTGAAAGATGAACTTTTAAATAGTTATTCATTCTAACATGAAGAAGAACCCAATAATAGAAGGCTGTAGCATATGCTTCAATGTTTACCACGCAGTCCCTGCAATGTGCATCTAACTCCTCGTAGTGCGCTGCCTTCCTTCCTGATTCTTATGTGTATGAGTACACAAGCAGAAAGCTAATAATCAGCATTATGGAATGAATGCCAATCTTCCATAAGAGTGTGGCAGACTGAAGAAATTTGGAGTCGAAGAGTTATTAGATCAGACCCCAACTCTACTACTTATTTGGAACCCACAGGTAAATTAAAGTCAGTGAAAATGTTTCCTCATCCTCAAAATGAGAATGACAATCACTTCCTTATGGGACCTCTGTGAGAATTTAGTGAGATAATGAACCATAAAGTGTCTGGCATCCATTGTTATGATGCAAACATGTTAGAGTGCAGAAGGTGCTCACATAAAAGGTAACTAATATAAAGCATTTTTCAATGATTATGAAATCATTGAAGCAGATAAAATCATACAGTAAGTAAAACAGTAACAATAATAAATTGGAACTACTTGTTTATTCTTATAGATGCCTACATAAGCCATCAATAAAGGATTCCATGCAAATCCTGCCTTGATATCCAGATTTGAGACATCTTTGTGTGAACATTTTTAAAATACAAAGTTTTTTTTTAAAAGAACTGTAATTTTTTCTAATTAAAATAGTAGGGAATTAGATCCAAATGTCAGACTAAGCCTTTATGCCTATCTACTCCCACCTCAATTTCCTAAAAATACCAAAAATCTGTTTTTAAAAAGAATAAATTCACAACAGTGCTAGATAACAAGAATGGGTGGAATTGATGAACAGAAATTTTATGGATTTCGAGACTGACAAGAATTCAGTCTTTGATGAGGAAAACCACAATCCAGATAACATGGAGGAGAACTCAATTGCAAAGATGAGAGCAACTCTGAGACACTCAAAATTCAGGGATGACAGACAAGGCAGCAGGAAGAAGTCCTAGGGAAGTGGGCCAGTAATTGGCTGGGGAACAGTTTAGCACATCCCACCCTCACACCTTCTATAATCCTACCACCAACTACCCAAACCCCCAACAGCAATAGCAGAAGCATCCACCCCTGGACCTACACAGCATGTGAGGACAGTAGACTTTGGAGGGACTTGGACTGTCAGTGTTCACAAGAAACAGAAAGTCCCTATATGCAGAAGAGGAGCATTTAAACACCACACTTGGCAGCACATCCCAACTCTCACCCTCCAACAAAGGCAGATCCTAGTAAGCAGAAATGTTATTTACAGGTGAGTAAGCAAGGAATCTCAAATACAGCAATGAGCACATACAGGAATCATCAAATAGTTCAAGAAAACCAGCCCCATAAGAGAGGGCACCAAATTCAATCAAGAGAACCACAAACATCTTTTTGTTCAAACATACTTGAACAAAGAGAAGGTGACTTTCAAAGAAGTATGGTTGATCCTCATTGTTTGCGGACTCCATAACTGTGAAGTTGCTTACTTGCTAAAACTTATTTATAACCCCATTTCAATACTCTTGCCACTTTCATGATCATTCACAGACATACATCTAGAGTGGCAAAAAATTTGAGTCACACAACATGCACATTCCTAGCTGAGGTCAAATAAAGCAACACTCTGCTTTCTTGTTTTAGCTCTCGTACTATAAGCAAGTGTCTTTTTGCGGTCATTTTAGTGCTATGTTTCACATTTTTGTGCATTTTGTTGGTGATTTCACTGTTTAAATGCTCACCCTCCCCTCCACCAAGCATAGTGCTGAAGTAGTAGTCTTGGTTCCTAGGTGCCAAAAGGTTGTGATGTTCTTTAAGGAGAAAATACATATATTAGATAAGCTTCCTTCAGGCAGGAGTTATAGTGCTGATGACTGTGGCTCAATGTTTATGAATCAACAATATATATTAAATAAGCTGTCTTCAACAGAAACACACATTTTAAAAAGGTTTGTATTAATCAGTTGATGAAAATGTTATCATCAGTAGCTCACAAGAGCCTAACCCTGTATTTCCCCTAGGAGTAATGATTCTATATTCATGAATTCAGTATTTGCTTACTTACTAATTTGCAGCAACTTTATAGAGCATAACTTCAGTGAATAATAAAAATCAACTGTATAATTAATATCATGTGGATTTAAAAAGCCATTGAATCCAAGACTAGGCTGTATGAGAGTAGAAATCTGTCCAATGGAAAAGATAGATAGGTTTTCTTGGTGTAGAATTTGTGCATAAGTTATTTCAGATGGTTAAGTGAGTAGTTTATTTATTTATTTATTTATTGAGATGGAGTTTTGCTCTTGTTGCCCAAGCTGGAGTGCAATGGTGTGATCTTAGCTAACTGCAACCTCTGCCTCCCAGGTTCAAACGATTCTCCTGCCTCAGCATTCAGAGGAGCTGGGATTAAAGGCATTCACCACGATGTCCAGCTAATTTTGTATTTTTAGTAGAGATGGGGTTTCACCATGCTGGCCAGGCTGGGTCTCGAACTCCTGACCTCAGATGATCCACCTGCCTCGGCCTCCCAAAGTTCTGGGATGACAGGCGAGAGCTGCCATGCCCGGCCAAGTGAGTAGTTTTCACACCAGAGGGCTCTAACAGGTTATACACTGAACTCTGTATCTTACCGTTGAGTAAAACATTAAAAATGTTCATATCTTGACATTTGTTTTGTACAATATCAGAAAAGAGTTTATTTATATGAAACCATTAAATATAATGGTTTGTCTAATTCATATGTTTGATATTTATATCTTAACCAAATATAATCCTAAAATAATAATTTATGAATTTCATAACTGAGAATTGAATTCTAGCCAAAGCAACTTTGTTTTTATTGAGACCAGAATTCATTTTACAAGTTCCTTTTAAAATACGTTGTGCAAAGTGAGGTAAACCTATATATGAATTATTGAGGCTATTTTGCGACTATTAAGTATATCTAAAAATATATCCTTAATAATTATCATTCTCTTATCATAATGTATCTCCCCAATACTGTCCCAGAGTATCTTTTTAATATGAGTCCCTGCATTTGTCCTAGCTAAAAACACCTTCCATTAGCCTGTTTCCTATTAACCTGTTTCCATTAGCTTTTCTGTAAGAAATCCTTTCAATCAAGAATGGCTCACATCAGCCACGCTGAACTGCACCATACTTCTGAGGACCACAGACTGTCTTTAAAAGAATTGAAAGCTATGGGTTTGATTTACAAGGAGCGGTTAAAAAGTTGAATCCTATCCTAGATGCCCAACAGCAACTGCTCAGTATAGTTTAAATTTCGGAGATCACCCTTCAGCGGCTCATTCCCTTTGCAGCTCTTTTTCTGTAGTTCATGAATTTCCCTCCACAATGCCTTACTCTGTCGGAGCAAACCCATGATCAACAGCCAACTTTCCAAATGATTTCCACTTTTGTTATTTCCATTGAATGGAAATCAGTGGTCCACTGATTCCACTTTAATTTGAAACAAAACATAGGTCGGGACAAGCAGAAGCACATCCACCAAAGCAGTGAGCACTGAGCTCTACGTTCTCACGCAGGGTCCTAGAAAGTGCACTAGCAGTTTAGAACCTGAATGAAGAATATTCATAAAGTCATGGAGCCCACCACACCCAAGCGTATTTTTCACTTTGTTATCACAAGAGCCCTCTCTGTCTGCTACAATGGCTGCCTGACTGCTGCTCAGCCTCTGGCACTCACCAGTGGGAAGAGAGAGAGCTGGGCAATCAGAGCACAAAAGCAGCTTTCTCTATCCTGCTTTCCATGAAGCTGAAAGAGAGGAAAACATCCTTTTTTTTTCTAAAATTTCTCATAAACCAAGGTGCCCAGAGGGCAGTTCTAACCAGTGTTCTGAATAATTTACGTGGATTTATATTCTCCACTATTCTTTTTGGGAGGTGATTAATTACTATGGCAACCACTACATCACAAGAAATCTATGTTTACTCAGAAATATTGTGAGTGTGGTATACCCTCTTTATAAAAATGCTTAAAAGAAAATGGGAGTCCCTTAAGTGTGTTGTTTTAAAGACAATTTGCTACTCTAAAACAATACAGTTTGAAGAGCTTCGTAGAGTTTACTTTTGTCAGGAGGCAGCAAACAGTAGGGAGGGGAGTTTAAATATAGAATATGGTACGTACTGATAAATTATTTAAGACATAAATATATAAGGTTTATAACTCAAGACAATGTATGCATGTCCAAGAGACACTACCAGAGTGAAAAGTGTAAGAAAGGAATCAATTCAGTAGTAATAAATGCTTGTATCCTCATCTGTAACATACTTCAATATACATCATATTTATTTCATGAGCATCAGAAGTCTTTGTGCAGATTTATGCTTCTAGTTATGAAGCATAAAAAGCAGAAGTCAAACAAGTTGTGAGCTTATCCTTACAGTTTTAGTAAAATCAACGTAAGAAACTTGTTTTGTTATCACTAGTTTTCTGAGCAGCAACTTCCGAGAAGTCTATCAGGGAGATCTGGGATGGTGCAGGACAGGAGATAAGCCTTGGGAAAACTGCTGGCTCACGGGCCCTGGAATCCCACTCAAATATGTGTGCATGTCTCTTGGGTCAGAGGAGCTTCCTAAAGATTGCATTTGCCAGTCACCTCCAAAGGAAAATGGGAATCAACTCCAAGTTACTCCAAGTTCTGGAAGTCCCACATGGTGTTTTCATTTCCTGAAAACTTCATATCATCCTTGAAAAGATGTAGTTCAGACAATGCTAATTACACTACAGAGTACATTTCTAGAAATGAAGGATTTGAATGTCTTGGTCATCCAGAAGAAAAGCCTCTATGCTTGAGATTTGGTTTATCTAACATTTTTCATCTTGGATTTGGGTACAGAAAGTTAATTTATCTGAGAAGAGATGACAGAAGCTTTAAAAGGTGTTCTTTTTTGCCATCTATGTCGTTATAGTATGATGGTTAAGAGAATAGACACTAAAGCCAAACTGTCTGAATTCAACTCTCAGCTCTACTACTTGATCTGTTACCTTAAACTTCATGTGCCTTAGTTTCTTATACCTTGAAATATAGATAATGGTCAAAAAAATTGAAATGTATTTCTTAGTCTGTTCCTGCTGCTATAACAAAATACCATATTCTGAGTATTTATAAATAGTAGAAATGTATTTCTCACAGTTCTGGAAGCTGGGAAATCCACATTCCAGGTGCCAGCAGATTTCGTGTCTAGTGAGCGCTGCTCTCTGCTTCCAAGATGGTGCATTTTGCTGCGTCCTCACACAGTGGGAGGGCAAAAAAGATGAACACTGTGTCCTCATGTGGCAGAAGATATGGAAGGACCAAGCAGCTCTCTGAAACCTCTTTTATAAAGGCATCAATGCCATTGATGAGGGCAGACCTCTCATGGCCTAATCACCTTGCAAAGACCCCACTCTTAATCATCACCTTGGGATTTAAGTTCCAACATAAATTTTGGAGGGATACAAACATTCAAACCACAGCAATGTATTAGGCAACTATAGCAAAAAACAATAAAGGCATTTTCTCACCTTGATCTGGAGGTAACTCTTTATCCATAGATTTTCAAAAACCACTAGCAATAATTAAGCAGCAACTGGCTGCAGTAGTTCCTTCAGGAGTCTGCACTGTATGCAGCAAGTCTAAAGACCTCTCTGCAAGCACTTCTAGTACTCCCCACATCTCCAGAAATCCAGAGTGGATTCCAGAGAAGCCTTGACACACTCCACCCTACCTTCACCTACTCACACAATTAAGTAGATCTACCTGCAGTTAAAAACAAAACAAAACAAAACAAAAAAACCCTGTGAGTGATTTGAATGTAGTTGGAATGTAAAGATTATCAAATGTTGTGCCAGGAAGTGACTGAACTATAAGAGAATTAACATGACAAGGTTAAATTCACTAGTCAAACATGAGCTTAGAGAGAAATGGGCCACATTCACAGTGAAAATAATTCAGTCAACTTGAAGAAAAAAATGTCTTTGGGGATTATCAAGATGACCAGCTGCAGGTTTATCATGCCTGAGATCAGGATCCTTACAGAACAACCTGTATACTAGTATTGTTTGTATCTGTTTTTGTAACCACTTTATTGACATATACATTATTCTTTTAATAAAATAAAAAGGAGCAAGTAGTTTTTTAAAAGATATTTCTTTATTTTTGCAATGCAAGCACGAAGAGACCTAAGTTCTTATATATGATAGAGGCACAATTATAAGCATAACAAAACCATTCAAATAGGGTGTGGTAACCTCCTAGCACCAAAAACAATGAACAACACCAATAATTATAACACGTAATGTCTACTGAAAACTAACCACGGGCCAGGTGCTTACAATATATTCTCAAAACATCTCTGTGGGGTAGATGTTACTATCTCCATTTGACAGATAAGGGTATAGAGGCTAAAAGGGTAAAAGGTAAAGGACTCAAGTTCAGATGGCCTGACCCAGAACCAATGCCTTTAATCCTGTTCTGTGCCTGTTCCTTCCGGAAATTACACTGGAGAACTCTTTAGTGCTGCATACAATGGGTTATTTTACTCCACAATGACTCAGATTCATTAACTTGCTCAAAAGCACTTACTAAGTGCCCACTGCAACAGAAATCTGCACCAGGAACTGCAGTGAGTTACTAAGAGAAATAAGTTTGGGCCCTGCCTGCCCGCCAATAGCCATAGTCAAGAAGGAAGATAAGACTGGAATACAAACAGTCATATTTCGAGGCAGTCTGTGATCAGCAGTTAGGAAGGATGAAGTGATACGAGCATTAGGTCACACTATTACCTCCCTAAGACTGCTTTTGCTGTTTAGGCACCTACTGGGAAGCTAATTTAGCATTAAGGCTTAGAAAAGAGGCCTATCTAGGTCCTGTACTTTGAATCAGAGAAAAAAAAATTAAGTACATATTTAAATTCTAGATAGTTTAGGGCTTTCCTTTCAAGCCCTAAAAACAGGGCTCCCACAAAATGAATTCAGCTATAATGCTGTGGAAGAGGAAAGCCCATTTCTACTCCACTTGTTGAGTCAAAAGATATGAGTCCTGCCTTCCTCTGCAGAATAAATAAAAGGGAGCCTGTCTGCAGAATAATGCTAAGAGGAAACAGAGCCAAGAGATGGAGCAAAATGTAGAGTCCAGACAACATCCTTTTAGCCCCTGGATCCACGTAACTTGGACTTCCTGAGGACATAAGACAATAAATTGCCATGTTTGCTTATCCTAGCTTAAGTCAACTTTCTGTCAAAGGGACAAAACAAAATGGTACCAACTAATATCTGCTCTATAGAAAGCTATGTAAGAGCATGGGCTCGGATCCAAATAGGTTCAAGCCCTAACAATGCCACTTGGTATCTATGTGACTTTGGGCAATTTAGCAGATGTCTCTGGCTCAGTATCTTCATCTTTAAATTGGAGATGGTTTGAAAGGATTAAGCAGGAAAATAAACGTAAAAACTTAGCAAAGTGGCTGATACATAGTAATTCCAGGACATCTGAGAGTAACCTCACTATTACCATTAATTGTCATTATCACTGTGATGATTCGTTTTATGTGTCAGCTTGGCTAAGCTATGGTTCCCAGCTGTTCAGTCAAATATTAGTTTAGATGTTTGCTATGAAGGTATTTTATAGATGTCATTAGCTTTTACAATCAGTTAGCTTTAAGTAAAGCAGATAACCCTTGATAATATGGGTGGGTCTCATCCAATCAGTTGAAGGTCTTAAGAGCAAAAACTGAAGTTTTCCAGAGAAGAAGAAATTCAGCCTCAAGACTGTAACATAGAAACCCAGACTGAGTTTCTAGCCTGCTGGCTTGCCCTACAAATTTGAGACTTGCCATCCCCTACAGTTACAAAAACCAATTCCTTAAAGTAAATCAATCTCTCTCTCTGTCTCTCTCTCTCTATACACACACACACACACACACACACACACACACACATAAATACATACACATATATACAAATGTGAATATATTATACTTACATATAAATATAGTAGATAGATAGATAGATAGATCCTATTGACACAATTATTACCAAATGCCAGGGATTTGGTCTAAGTCCTGCTGCTCACCACACAAAAAGCCAGTCACTGAGACAATGAGTATTGCCAGGGAAGAAGGCTTTACTCTGGTGCTGCAGCTGAGGAGATGGGAGATTAGCCTCAAATCCATCTCCTCGACAAACTAAAATTAGGGGTTTATATAGCAGGGAAGAAATATAACCATGTGTGGGAAAACAGGAATTAGAGAGGGGTAAGAAAGAAGAGTTGGTCAAAAGGAAGCTGATGGTCAGAAAGGCAATCATGATGGGTGAGGGTTCTTGCATCTCATTGTCCGGATGTGGTGATCTCGTAAGTTTCAGTTCCTTCATACTATCTGGAAGGCCTGATGATTGGTTTCCTGAAAAAGGAACTCAGATAAGGCAAATGTGGTTTCTCAAGTTTTTAAGACTAGGAGGGTCAATTTCTATGTTTATTCAATAGAAACTATAAATATCAATTCTATGGGACAACTGGGCCAGTTTCACAATCACCGTAACTACCTAGCTGTTCTCCAACCCCTTTGTAGTACTGGTGAGACATGAGCCATAACTGCAGACCATGTACAGCTCATTGAAGCAAGCTGTTAGCATACTTGATTGACTTGTGCAACTGCTCTCCAAAAAGCAAAAAATGTCCACACTGTCTTCATCAAAGACCTACGTCTGGAATCTCACAGTGCACTGTATGAACATAGAGCAAACTAGTATCTATGGCTTATATGTGTTATCAACTTCTGGCATACATCTAATTAATGATTAGAAATTTATCATGGAAAATAACTATTCTGGAGGCCTGGTTCTCATCTCAGAATTATGTATCAAACTATTTTCCTAAGGATCCATTTTTTTTCAAGGCATTAAGTTACGTTGTTTTCACCAATTGATTTGGAGGGGATTTGTTTGTTTTTAAGCAATGCATAAAGAAAACTAATTGGCCCTTCCCTAAGTAAATAGGTATTGATGTGTAAAATTATAAGCCAAGGCTCTGGATACAGAAATTGATTCAGACTGCGGAAGCTAAAAGCAACACATTATCTCTAGTGATGCAGAGATTTCCTCCACGTTCAGCATGAAGCAGTGTCTACCCGCCATCTCTTTCCTCCATCCAGACTCTGTGAATGGCAGTTCTATATTCGCTCTCATTTATTTCCCATTTTCTTTGGGGCCAGGTTCTGAGCTAAGCACTTCATTTTTTTTCTTGATTATACTTTCCCACAATTCCCTTTTCTACTCAGAAAACACTCACAAAGCAGCATGTTTCTGGAATGGGAGCAATGAAAGTTACATATTTTGGATGAAATGGGAGTAGAAGGAAACCCTGCCAAATGCCTTTTAAAAGCTGCAACACCTGCTGACTAAAATTAGCTGCTTACACAGTTCAAGGAAAGAATCTGTTCTTTTCTTTCAAACTCTGGCTCGAGAAATCTATCTCCATGAATCAGTTCATCAGCTATTGATTAGCTTCTCTGATTAGCTCCTCTAATGGCTGCAATAGAAAGTACAAGGCTGCTTTGTAGGCAACAAATGGAGGGAACCCAACACAGCATGTGTCTATGCCCTGGCAGAAATTTTAATCCCAGAACTCAAAACTTGGTGGAAGCACATCCATCCCATCACCTTTCATTCATTCATTCAACAAATATTTGTTGACTACAATATCTACCATATGGCAGGCACTGTTCTAAGCGATTAGAAAAACAAACAGAAGTCCCTGCCCTAAAAGATGTACACCTACTTTCATCAGCTTCCAGGTGTGTCTCTGCAGAATGTTCTCACTGCAAAAGCACAGGTCTTTTGAAGCCCCTGCTCCCAGCATCTCCCAGGGATAAGACTCCTTCTCTCCCTGCCCTGTGAGGTCAACACGCCTTCCCTCCTCTTCCTCTTAGCCAAAAATAAGCACACCTTCTGCTTTGCAGTTTTGTCTTGATTTTTACTTCTGCTTCTTTCAGGATCAAAGATTATTAGAAATGTGATGCCTACATAATAACTACAAGTCCCACTCCCAAAGAATAAAAGGATAGCATCATAGTTACACTTTGTGATTTTCATGTGAATCTCAACTCTCAGACCATGAAGGAGCTCAGAAAGACTCTCTTCTTCTGCCTTCATTCTTGTGCTTCTTCCTTACACATGCATTATGCTAAATATTAATCATTATAATGACTAATATGTTTCAGGCATGGTGCCAAGAACTATAAATATATTACCATCTTTAATCCTCTTCAGTATCCCTATGAGGTAGGTACTCTTACTGAATTTCACAGATGATGGAACTAAAGCTCAGTGAGTTTAGATAACTTGTCTGAGGTCACGAGGTTGGTACACCAAATGAAATCAAACATTGACCAGCATCAAACTCAATTCACATTTCTCTTATGCAGTAATTACCAATCAAAACCCGTGGTTTCAAAAAGGGTAGTTAGAATGTAACTTTAGAGTACATCATAACTCTCCATTTCTCCTCTGCAACTGTCTCCTACCTGGGCTCCCCTACTCAAATTCACTGTTTATACTGCAGGCAGCCAGATCTTATGAACACATCAGTCATGTTACTTTTCTGCTTAGTGTCTCCAATGCTACTTAGTGCTCTTAAGACAAAATACACAACTTAACTCCAAAGCCCTGCATGATCTGGCCCCTACCTACTCCTCCAGCCTCTGACATCTCTTCCTCTCATATATGGCTGCAGCCATCTGAACCTGTTTCATTTCCCAGAATTCATCACATACTCACCCACTCACAGGCTTCTAATGTATTGTTTCCTCTGCCTAAAACTCTATTCTCTATAACCCCCACTGCCACCACATATGTGCACATGCACATGTACACACAAACACAAACACACACACACACTCCTCTTTTAATTCTGGCTATGTCCTCCTCTTTTTCTAGTTGTCAGCATAGCTGTGTGTATCAGTCCATCCTCATGCTGCTACGAAAAAAACTCAAGACTGGGTAATTTATAAAGAAAAGAGGCTTAATTGACAAACAGTTCCCATGGCTGAGGAGGTCTCAGGAAACTTATAATTACGGTAGAAAGCACCTCTTCACAGGGCAGCAGGAGAGAGAATGAGTGCAAGCAGGGGAAATGCTAGATGCTTATAAAACCATCATATCTCATGAGACTCACTCATTACCAAGAGAACAGCATGGCGGAAACCACCCTCATGATTCAATTACCTCCAGCTGGTCCCACCCTTGACAAGTGGGGATTATAGGGATTACAATTCAAGGTGAGATTTGGGTGGGGACACAGAGCCAAACCATATCACTGTCATATGCTTAGATGCCTTCCCCAACTCCTTTTATTGAGTGCTCCCATGGTTTTCTATTATACTGTGTGAGATCTTTCATATACCCAATGCCAGCCCCAGCCTGGGCAAAGCAGGCTCAGAATAAATGTTTATCAAATAAATAAATGGATGATGACATGGAGTGGGGGCCTTTCACCCAGTACTTCAAGCTCCTCAATATATTTGTCTAATCCAGACCTGATTTGGATTATCAAAGGTGCCACAGACTGGTATGGATATACAGACCAGTATGGATGACACCTACCATAGAGCCCATTCTTTCTACCCTCAGCAGAACTACATCTTGGGCAAACCACCCTGCACATCACACACTCGAGCAAACCTGCCCCTGCTCTTCCTTGACAGATGTGTCCAGACTGAAAGAAATGAAAAGGCCCTGAACTGTATTCAAAGGTCATCAGTCTCAGGCCAGAGTAAAAGAGGTGTATATTAGTTAGAGATGCTTTCAGCTGCAAGTCAAACAAACCCCAACTAAACCTGGCTTAAAGAGAATATTAATTATCCCACATAATGACAATCCAGTGATAGGGCAAGCTTCAAGCATGTAGCAATGCAATCAGTTGCTAAATAATATCTCCAAGGACCCAGCTAGTTTCCTTCTGTCCACTCTGCTGTCCTTAGCATTAGTAACATCCTACTGCTGGTTTCCTTCATGGTCATAAAGTGGCTACTGTTAGCAGCTGGTAGCAAGATGGCTTTGTCAAATTCAGCAAGAGAAAGGGACAGCTCCTCCCCCATCTAAATGCAAGTCCTTTATCTTCAATCTGGTTGTACCAACCCAGGACCTTTGCCCACCCCAAGACCAACAACAATCTCCATGCCCTGGACTCCAGAGAAATGCCATAAACTAATTGGCTTAGATTAACTATCTGAGGTAAAATGGATTTACTAGATGAGAAAACCAATGCAAGACTTTGGGGAACAAAATCTCAAATGTCAATGATAGAAGGGAGATAACACACTTATTTCCATGTAACACAATTACGTTTTTCTCTTTCTCAGGTGGCTTCTGAAGATGTCACATGTAAATACTCTATATTCCTTTTGAATGTGTAGTTGAATTTCTTCTTGCTGATGCTAGCTTCTCTTCAAGCTAATCATCTTCTTCTGCAGACATGCTTATGTTGAGTCAGCATTTAACATTTAGAGGCTTATTGCTTACAGCAGCTATAGAAACTGCTTCACTCAACCCTGCACAGAGGCAATACAAATGATATCAAAAATGTAAGCCAAATGACTTCATTATTCTTCTTTATGTAGGCAGATCCTTGATACTATTATAAAGCAAGTTTCTATCACATCACACTGGATAAAACACCCTGCTTTAGTGAAGCAACATATACTCGAGAGAGGAAAAGAAAGCTTGTCACAGTAAACAACCTTCTGGCATTGCCCTCCTCCTCAAGGTGTTACATTTGTGTTTTCTGGAGCAGGAATTTAAAAGCCAACTAGGTTAACAGAAACTTTAAATATATATAAATACACATATATATGGAACAGAATGGAACTTGACATATATATATGTATATACGTATATACATATGTATATACGTATATACATATGTATATATGTACACACATATAGGTATGTGTATATATGTGTTATGCGTATGTGTATATATACATATGCATGTGTACCTATGTGTGTATATACATATGCATGTGTACCTATGTGTGTATATACATATGCATGTGTACCTATGTGTGTATATACATATGCATGTGTACCTATGTGTGTATATACATATGCATGTGTACCTATGTGTGTATATACATATGCATGTGTACCTATGTGTGTATATACATATGCATGTGTACCTATGTGTGTATATACATATGCATGTGTACCTATGTGTGTATATACATATGCATGTGTACCTATGTGTGTATATATACATATGCATGTGTACCTATGTGTGTATATACATATGCATGTGTACCTATGTGTGTATATACATATGCATGTGTACCTATGTGTGTATATACATATGCATGTGTACCTATGTGTGTATAGGTATATACGTACACACATGTATGTGTATATATGTATGTCAATTTCCATTCTATTCCCTATATATGTATATATAAAGTGTCAATCTAGTACATAACACATATGTATATATGTACACACACATATATGTGTATATGTGTATCTACATATGTATATATGTACACACATATATATGTGCATATATGTAATGTGTATATGTATATATACATATGTATGTGTATATGTATATATGTACATATATGTATATATACATATGTATGTGCATATGTATATATGTACATATATGTATATATACATATGTATATATGTATATATGTACATATATGTATATGTACATATGTATATATGTACATATATGTATATATACATATGTACATATGTACATATGTACATATATGTATATATACATATGTATATGTATATATACACATATGTATATATACACACACATATGTATTTGTATATATGTATGTCAATTTCCATTCTATTCCATATATGTGTATATACACATGTATGTGTATATATATATTTTATATATATATACATGTATGTCAATTTCCATTCTATTCCAGTACAGAAAACCTATCAAGTTAAACTGAACCCACTTTTGCAAGGTTATCGCAATATACTGGGGTATCTAATAATTCCTTCTTCGGAGCTTAGCTTTAGCACACAAGACGTTTAATTTCTAAACTCTGCATGGGCTGTCTGCCTGTAGGCCACAAGCACACACGGAATGACTGCTGAAATGGCTGGGCTGTAGTTTTATTCTGAGGTGCCAGCACATTAAGAAGAAAGACTATACATATGCTTTAGAAATAAACTTCATCTGGTTTGTCAGAAGGACTTTGGGCTGTATTGTCATGTATAATCACGGATTTTAAGAGTTTGCAGGGATTTAGAAACCATGTATTTCAGCAAACTTGTCAAAATTTGCATAGCTGTTGCACAGATATATTCTCAAACATTTATTGACCAGTGTGCCTCTGAAAATCTGGTGAAATGATGTTTGATTCCATTGGTGGAGGGTCCTGAACATATTTTAAAGATAGCAAAGATGATCTCTAAGCTCTCCATGCTTATGTGTTCTCCGCTAGCCCAAAATGCTTCCAACTCTCTAGTGATACAATTTGCTCCCCTGTAAAACCCCAACTTCATGGTCATAAAGTGGCTGCTGGTAACACAGGAAGATGCTTAGGGATGCTTTCAGCTGCAAGTTAAACAAATCCCAACTAAACCTGGCTCAAAGAGGATATTAATTATCCCACATAATGAAAGTCCAGTGACAGGGCAAGCTACAAGCATGTAGCACTGCAATCAGACCTGTCCTAATGTCCAATGTCCCATGTTCTAAAGATGCCTTCAAGTAATGCTCCCATCCTTCTCTGTGATTGATTTCAGCTCTTAAAGGGAAAGCAATCAAGTTGATTACTAAAATAATAACTGATTAACTAAATTAAAATATACTTAACGATGTAGCAAAATTGCACTTGTACTCCATGAATACATACAAATAAAAATATATGTATACTTGAGAGCAGGGACCTAACCTTATACTTCTTTGCATCTGCTAATCACATTTAGGACTACGCTGTCCTTAAAGTAACATGCAAATGATATAAATCTAATTTTGTTTAATTTTCCCAGGGTGATGTATATACAGAAGAAATTTAACACAAATTAATATCTAACTGGTAGAACTTGTTCAGGAAAGTATTTATGAATGAGAATAAGAAAATGTTGTTCTCCCTTCCCCATGCTTACTTTGAGCTGGGACTACCTAACTACCATACAACTCTCTTAGCTTTTCTTCCCCAGCCTACCATAAGCACACCACTAACTCATTAAACAAGTGTTATCTCCTCCAACCACTCTTGGTGGTGGAATATACCAGGCTGTGGAAATTTCTTTTAGAAAAAAAGTACTTTGTAGACTCCGGCCTTTACATGCTTGCTCAATAGCAACTAAAAAGGAAGAGAATCCTTGGATCTTAAATCCAATGAATGGCTTTCTAGCTGTGACAATAAAGATGACAATTTGGCTAAGAAATCTTTTTTTGTTGTTGTCTTAATTCACCAAGCCACAGCCTAGCCAACTGCAAGTCCAGTACACCAGTTTATTCTACCTACATTCCCATTTACATTTTTTCATAATCACTATTTTCTTTGACGATTGATATCCAAAATGAACAATCTTATATCCACTGCTATAAATGCATTAAATGGTGTTTTTCTTCCATCATTGTGGAAGGCATGCTCTCAGGTTGGAATTAACTTTGGGGCCAGGGAAGTAATAATTAGGGTCTCTTTGCTTTGGACACAAATGAGTTCATTTATCAGCCTAAGAGTTGCAAATGATCAATTTTCTAAAACTAGTGCTAGCAAGCACCTCATTGCCTATACTTCTTTAGGCTTGAAAGCACCCCGCTTTCACTAAGGAAGGTGAATCCAAAAGGCATGTATCCCACTAGGGGCAGGAAATAGATGGGAAGCAACAAGGAGAAATTTTTTATATAAAATAGAAGAATTTTGCCTGAAAGGCACTAAAATCACACAAACTGTTAGAACAGCTAAAAAAGAGTAAAATTTGAAATCCAAGTCACAGTACTTATTGTCACCTGGAACTGAAGTGTTATAATGAAGCCATATATGGCTCAGGAACATGGGGGGAAACCCCTTACGGGGTGACTGTTCTACAGGTGCATTCACACTTCCAAATATAGCTAGCTCATGGGTAATTCTACATTAAATGCTTCTATTTTTCTTAGGTGGTATCAATTCAGTGTGACTCCAAAATAGAAATGAAGCACTTTAAAAATGAATCATTCTTCTTGAACTAACTCTTGAGCTCTCCTCCCAAAAAACATAGTAAAAAAAGTTGGGGGGCTATCATCAATTAAGTGAAAGACTATCCTCTACCTATCAGTCTAAGTAAGTGTGTGTGTGTGTGTGTGTGTGTGTGTGTGTGTGTGTCAAAGAGAAATAGAGCAAAGCATAAAAAGAGACTCAGGCGGATAGACAAAGACTCATTACAAATAATATCTCATATTCATTATTTGAGAAATAACATATATAACACATTATATATGTTATATTTAAATATTTATATATCCCCCATGAATATTCAGAAAGGAAATATAGGACACAAAAGGTCAAGATATCATGGATCGATCATCTTCAGCTGTCTATTTTATCTGGGAACTTATATTTCCAGAGACAGTTATGACCCAACACTTTATAATGCAATCTAGAGGCAGCATTTAAGGGTGGCTGGAGGAGCTCCCATTACCCAATCTTTCCATTAGCAGATGGATTAGTACGAGTAAACATACTCTTTGTAAATCCTGCACTGTGTTCTTGATATGCAAACACAACTTCAAGACAACCCCCTGACCCAGCTGCCACTCAATGGGTGCTCTAACTCCTCCCATCTAGCATTCTTGGAGCCATCTCTGAATGAAATAACCAGAACATGAATTTCATTCCAGCACTCACTGGGTGGTGGTCATTTTTGTTTGGTTGGTTGTGACGTTTCAGACTTTCTCCGCAAGTAGTTAAAAACTGACTTGCACTAGTTCCAAGGACAGATTATCTCCTGTTGGATGGGCTTGAAGGCCATTCGCCGAGCTGGCAGTTGTGGAGGAAAAACGGTTAATTTCGCAAAGCTACAAAGGTCCGTCCCAGCTCTTACTCCACACACCCCGCGGAACACTCGCCCCCGTCCGGTCCTCTGTAGTCCGAGCGCCCCTCCCCCGCCTCCTGGTTCTCCCTTTTCCAGCCACCACCCAAGCCCCGAGGCTCGCGCACGCCCTCCCCGTCCACCCGCGTTCCGAGGGTCTGCGGGGCTATCTGTGGAGGACAGGGCCCCTCTCTAAGAGCGCAGTGTTTCCCCGGCCTGCAGCAGGATCCAGATAGGTACAGAGACTCCAGCCAGCCCCGGGAACCCGGCGTCACAAAGAGCTCCACTGAGCCCGCTGGCATCTGGGCTTCCCCTCATTAGCACATTAAAGCGGCTCTGTCCCTTCCCTCTGAGCCGCTCTATCCATCCCGCTGCCTGCCTCTGTGGAGCCTTTTAGGCCCACGCTCGTTTTGTAATCTCCCCAGTTCAAGAGGCACTAACCCTTTCCTGAAGCCTGTCAAACTCTCTTTCAGGAACCACAGGTACCGCGGAGCTCCTGGGCTGAGAGGCACAATTAGACAGCAGAACATATGCTAGTGCTGAAATCGCCTTCCCAAGAGGAGGCTTGCTATATACTTTCCATAAATACATATATTTATACTTTTATTAAATACATATGCATTTTTACTTTCTGTTACATATATTTATACTTTATATGCACACATATATATAAACAAACATGAACACATTGAAGTAAACAGCCTAGTGTCCTAGTTCATAGATCGGTGGGTTTCACTTCAGACTCTGACTGACAAGGCTCATGACAAAAACGACAGTCCCCAGAGTAGGGACTATGCATCAAAGTCACTGCGAGCCGAGGAAGCCGGTCAGCATTTATCACAGGCCAGATGACAGCGCAAAGCCACGAAAACCCAGGCTCTCCTTTTAATTTTGGGACCAGGATAACAGTTACATGGTGCTTGGCAGCTTTCCAAGCCCTCTCCCAGATGTTATTGCATGTAAAATTCCCAAACATCCAAGGGGAAATGAAAAACTAGAATTATTTTAACCAGTTTACAAATGAGAGAATTGAAACCCCCAAAAGTTAAGCTGTTTTCCTGAAACAAAACATACGACACAGGCTAAAGGGGACACCATCACTCCAGTGGACCAGACATAAAACCTTGAAGTGATTGCTAAGTCACATCTCATCACCAGGTGTGATGGCTCATGGCTGTAATTCCAACACACTGGGAGTCCAAGGTGGGAACATCACGTGAACCCAGTTCAAGACCAGCCTGGGGAACATTGCAAGACCAACATCTCTACAAAAAAAAATTAAAAATTAGCCCAGCATGGTGGTGCACACCTGTAGTCTTAGCTACTCGGGAGGCTGAGGCAGGAAGATCACTTGAACCCAGGAGTTTCAGGCTGCAGTGAGCTATGATTGCACCACTGCACTCCAGCCTGGATGATGGCGTGAAACTTTGTCTCTTAAAAAAAAAATTATTTTAAAATTATCTTAATTCCCTCTTCTCTCTCTCTCATACCCCACTCCCCAGTACAATCAGGACCCAAGTCCTACTGAGCCCCCTCAAATATGCACTGCCCCACTATCCTCATTTATAAGATGATGGTTCTGGCTTCTTGGGCACAGATCTGAGTTCATCTTTTCCAAGGTCGCAGATTCTAAACAGCGGTAGCTTCTTTCTGCTCATCACGCCCTCTACTGAATCCCCACCACAAATGTCAACTTTACACATAACACTTCTTTAGTATATTTCCTTTCTTACTCTTCGAAATGACTGTTTCCCACTTCTCTTTGTACAAACATCCTACACACCTCCCCCAACAACTAGCATCTTTGTTCACTATTGATATCCTTGCCTCAGAGTTCACAGAGAAAGAGAAGCCACCAGAGAGGAACTGCCTATGATTCCCACCACGAAATCATGAAATCTACCAAATTACCTTCATTTACACCCCCATTCTCAGTGTCTCCTCTGTACTATGGACAGTGTCCTAGTCCTGTCAAAGACTAGTTCCTCCCCACCATGCTTTGAATTCCACCATCTGAGCCTTCTCAAGGTTCCCTCCTTCCTTTATCTCACTCCTTCCTGCAATTTTCCCTCTTCAGTACAGCATTCCCATAAGCACACAGACCTGTTGTATTATCTCTCCCATTAAAAGACTCTCCTTACACTCTATTCCTTGTTAGGACAAAATTTCTCAAAAGTCATATTCTCAACACCTCCACCTCACATTCCCTCCCAAACCATTCCATCCACATTTCCAGCTGCACCACTCCTCTGACCCTGTGGTTGCCACAGCCACAGGGTTCCCTGTGTTGCCAAGCCACTGGTCATTTATCTGTCCTTTCCTCAATTACTCTCAGCACAGTGGACTGCTTATTGCCTCCTTCTGGAAACATCTTCTCTCTTGGCTTCTGGACACCATACTCTCCTGGTTTCCTTCCTACTTCAGATCCTTCCTTCTCCAGTTCCTTTGCTGAGTCCTTCTGTGTTTGAGGGTTAGTGTGCCCCCCAAATTGTTCTTGGTACCCCTCTTTCTCTCTATCTACACATGCATCCAGGACTCATGATCCCCAAATCCAAATTCCAAGCTCTGACTTCTCCCCAGAATTCCACACTCCGACTTCTCCCCAGAATTCCACACTCCAGCTTTCTTTTGACCGTTTCACTACACATCTCTAACTTTACTTGCCAAAGTAAACTCTTTAATTCCTACCATCAAACATGTTCCTCTCCCAGTCTTTCCCACCTTAGAAAATGGCACCATCGCTCACCCAATTGCTCAAGCCCAAAAAACTGGAAATGTTTCTTTATTCCTCTCCCTCATCTGCCCTGTCAAATCACTCAACCAGTCCTGTGTACTCCACCTCCCAGTGCAAACCACTGCAGATCACAACCGCTTGTCTCCACTTCTGTTGCTACAGGCCAGCCAGCTTCCAACATCTCTTTCATCTAGTAGGTATGTACTTCTCCCGCAATCCATTCTCCAACAGCAGCCAGAGTGGTCTTTTCAAAACATTAGCCAGACAACTCCTCTGCTTAAAATCTTCCACTTGTTCCCCAGCCCACTTAGAACTGACAACTGACCCTCTCTGACCTCCTCACTTATGCTCTCCTGTTTCCTGCTCTCCAGCCTCCCTTTCTTTCACATCATTATGAAGACTTGTTTCATCTTAGCATCTCTGCCTGGAATGACTTTCCTCCAGACCCTCCAGTGGCCATTTCCTTTTGGCTATTCTAATCTTAGCTTCAGTGTCATCAGAGAGAGAGAGAGAGGCCTGACCAGCCAAATTGAAGTACCACCTGTTCCCTCTCTGTCACATCACCCCACTTTGATTCTCTGCATATTATTTGCCACTGTTGGATACCTTTTTCATGTTTTTATTGCCTGCCTTTCTTGTAGAATGTAGTCTCCATGAGAGTGGAGGTCTTTTCTGCTTTGTTTCCCGAAGTATCCCTAACAGCTAGATTGTGCCTCTAACCTGACTCAGTAATTCTTTGTTAAATGGCTGAGGGGCTCCTGGTCTGTGCTCCTCAGAGCTTGAGGTGAAGCTGTATCAGTGGTCTGGCCACTCATGTTGGGACCCCAGGTAACCCTGACCCACCTTCCTGTCACCCAAACACAGAATGTGACCTCCTTAATTGCGTGATCTCTGAAAAGTCTTACTCCCCACTTACTGCCCATTCTACAGACCTGGGCTGCTGTCCTGTACTCCTAAATAGTTTCCCTGCCTCACATTCCAGGGCATCCCTTTCAGGCAAGGTGCCCCAGCTGAAGACCAGGCCATTTGGCTGGGGCCTTGATACTTGTAGCTATTGTCAGCCTTACTCTACTGCTTCCACATCATCACCTTATAGGTACAGATTTTCAGGGTCATGACTAGTACCAACCTGATGCCCCCACAATGAGGAACCGCTCCCCCCATCCATGATTAGATGCACTCCCAGAATCCAAATTCACTCTTACTTCCACTTGGATATCTGGCTGGCACCAGTGCTTCTCAAACATTCTGTCATAAAATACCCGTTTTTTAACAATTCATAGAAGACAATACTTTTGTGAAATACAATAAAAATCAATTATGAGAAAAAATGAGATGGAAAAAAACAAAAACCAAAATACAAGACCCGATTCTTAAATATTAGGACAAAAAATATAAAAGTGCTCTCTCAAACTGCTACAGTTATTTCTAAATGCTTACTCCCAATTTCTGTTCTCATCACGGTCTGGCCACACAGTCTGTAGTCCGGCAGGCATCCATAGCCCACGGTCTGAATAGCTAGCTGCTGTCCTCCCAGCAGCCTCTAGCTCACTCAGCACCCTAGGCCCTGGAGAGCAGATCTCTTTCCTGTAGTGGCTTTCAATAACCTTTCAACAAACAAGTATTAAATACCCATTATTTGACAGGCACTGCTGAGTGCCTTCTCAAAAATAATCAAATCTTCTTTTAGCTGACCTGGTCCAGATTCTGTTCAAATCAGAGCACTTCCCTCTCCGTCCTGGCTGCCTCCACCCCACTTAGACTCACATTTCTTCCCCTCTAAATGACTGCAGTAGCCTCCTAACTGATCCCCAAACTCTGGTCTTTTCCTTCTCCTTTTGTCCTATAGATTTTCCCCCAGAGTATCATATTTGGGCACATCTCTGATCATGTCATTTCTCTACTCAGTAACCTAAAATAACTTAATAAGTCTAACTGCTTATTAGAGCATCTAAGACTTTCAGTTATCTGATCCCATCCTACAAATCTAGCCTTAATTCCCTCTTCTTCCCTTTGTATTGACGCATCCTATAATATTGTCAAACTGGACACTTAATTCTTCCCCAATCTCTTACTTCCATGAACGGCTCATCCTGTCTCACCTCCCTCTCCCTGCACATATTCCTTTCCTACCCATCTTTCATTGCCAAGGACAAATGCCATCCCTGATCCCTCCTGACCTTTCTCCAGCCTAGCATGCTCTCTCCCTCCTCTGTGGTTTTACAAAAGCACTTAGCTGTATCACCACATAAATTTGTTTTCTTCTCTAGAAAAGGATAAGAATACTAATCTTTGTTATTAGAAGAAAAACATACAATGTAATGTTTTATACTATAAAGTATATGCCTTATAAGGTAAAATCAGAGAACTTGAGTCATTGTCTAAATGCTAATTTTAACTCAAACATCTCAAACACTCTCGTTAGGTTGTATCAAATTATATATAAAAATCCATATATAAAATATACTCTTGCATATTTTAAATCTCTCCATCTGCAATGCATAAACATGTCCCCAAGTCCCAAAAAGTTGCCTATGCACTGTCAGCACATTAATATTTTCAGAAAACTCTATTTTCTTGAGTTACATGGCAAGGACCTTGATAGGTTCACCCTGAACAGAAGAATGGGATTCAAATCTGTTCTCCTTTTCCTTCTAACATTCTGAAGTTGGATGAACATTAATAGCTGTTCCTCTTTTTTTTTTAATATTTTTTAAGCCCTAAGTGAAACAAACTCAATGGTATTCATCAAAAAAGGTCTGCTTCTTGAATCTATGTAGACGTTGAGTAATTTTATTATGTTTCAGTCTTCTACCTGGGCAGTTTTCCTAAAAGTGAAACAACTAATTTATGGGGATTTTTTGTCAGATCAGCTTGAAAACATCATTTTTGAAACTATAGCATTTTGAGAGGTATATGTTATCTTTATTTCTATTTTAGTTAAATTGCTCCCTTGATGGGTTATATTCAAAGGGTAATAACAGAAACTCCACCAATGGCACCCAGAGGCCATACTAGCCATTGTGATCCAGCAGTGCCCAACATATAATAGTCACTCAATAAACACTCATTGAATAAAATTCTCCCTGCATGAATGAATCAATGAATGTGAGGAGATCTATCTTATACGACAGACCAGAGTGCTTTGTGCTTTCTCAGACTCAGATATGATCACAAATTGTAGCCCTGTCACTCTAAATCTGTATATAATTAGTATGATTTGGTTTTAAAAATCTATTCAGTGTTTGTTCAGTTATAGTAGGTTTCTCTATTTTTTTAAATGGAATTTATTAGGAATTGGTGGCTTATAATCTCGGAACTTGCAAAACTATATTTAAGGGCTTTTTTTTTTTTAATCCTCAGAGAGTCACATAGTAAATATTCTTCAGACAAAGTTTAGAATTTAAATTAATAGAAACTCTCTCTATATATATACACACACATATACACGTGTGTGTATATATGTGGATAGACAGATAGATAGATAGATAGATAGATAGATAGATAGATAGATAGATAGATAGATAGGATTCTTTTGTTTTTGTTTTTGGGGGGATTTTTTTGAGATGGAGTTTCACTCTGTTGCCCAGGCTGGAATGCAGTGGCGTGATCTTGGCTCACTGCAACATCTGCCTCCTGGGTGCAAGTGGTTCTCGTGCCTCAGCCTCCTGAGTAGCTGGGACTATAAGCGCATACCACCACGCCCAGATAATTTTTGTATTTTTAGTAGAGATGGGGTTTCGCCATGTTGGCCAGGTTGGTCTCACACTCCTGACCTCAGATGACCCTCCCACCTTGGCCTCCCAAATGCTGGGATTACAGTTGTGAGCCACCGCCCCTGGCTGAAACAATATTTTTAAAACTTAAATTATAATATAATTCAAAAAATTATACTCATGTTGCCACTAACTAACTGAGTTGCCACTAACATTTTTTCTAAGAAAATACTTCCTAAAGAATATTTATTGTTATTGTTTTCTTTGACATTTCTTGTGAAATTCCTTCTTAACTATTGTACATTCAAGGATTCCCTGTATAATTCCAAAGTGTCAGAACAAGGTTAATACGCATTGCATATTGAACAGCTCATTTACATTATTCCAATATCTAGACACTGGGAAGCATTTATTTAGGCATTATGTGTAACAATTCAGATTATGAATTACAACGTTCATTCTAAATAGTGATACACATGTCAAGTTTCCCAGTTAGGTTTTGAGGTTTTGGCCCAAGAATAATGTTTCGTCACATGTGTGTATTCCATAAGAAGGCTCAGCATACAGTTACTGCTTAAGAATAAATGAATATAGACCTGTATATGTTCATGTTACCATTAAGAAACATGCCCAAAATTCATAGGTTTTTTCCATACATCTACTGAAGTTTGTCTTCCTAAGCATACTTCTTGAGAAGCATAATCAAGAATTAATGTGTCTGAACAATGTACAGGGCATGCTCATTGGCCTGAACGCAAATGAACAAGCAAGCTAAACTAAAATCTGGTGGTGGTACTTTCACATGCTCCATATTATTTTTATGAGAAATGGCAACTACATAATAAAACATCTCTTGCATTAAGTAACTTTAGAGCTATATGAGCGATATGAGCAGCAGCTCAATTGCCTATACCTTCTACATCTATAGATGTGTACAGTGAAAACAGACATCAGTTAAGATGCCCCTAAGACACTGAAGGATTTTGAGAAAGTAAAAGTTCAAAGAAAATCACACAAAGACAAGTATATTTTAATACACGTTAATTACCTGAAAACACATCATCTTTATCTGAGGTAATCCAAATATCCCTTTAATGTGAACATTAGTTTCTCCAAGCACTGGGCATAAATACAAGTATACTGGTATAATCATTTATTTTTATAATTTTGTCCTTTTAGTTAAAAACAAATGCACCCTTCAGACATCTTTTCTTTACTACTGATCTTAGAAAAGTCTGTTTTTAATCACACCACCCAGTTCCACTTGGAATATTTTATATTAATCAACCTCATTACTAGCTGATCTTCCTCTTTTCATTTTGACATGTTTTAGACGGAGCAGCTTGAGGAAGATTCTCACCATTAATTTCCTAACAAAAGCCTTCTCACTTGATCAGAAAGGATCATCTAAATTATATGTTTCCACCAACTGTATGGAATACCTAGAGTTCAGTCATATCCATTGGTTCATGATGTTCTGTCCACCTTATTTAATGACTCAGAAAGGCTATGTACACATATTGTCCCATTTTACATGGTAAGTTTCCTACTTGGACATTGATTTTATGTAGGCTTGCTTCAAACTCTTCTATGTATATCCTTAACGATCTTTGGTTTATATTCAAAAAGGTTTCAGAAATTTGAAAATAAATCTAAATATAAGTTGGAAATCAGTTCATTCTAAATCAAATGAATGGATGAGTCAGAATCAGTAGTGATTCCATTCTAATGATTAAACATTCCCGCCATAAGACTCAAAGAGGCAGAAACCCCTTTATAATTTGAGACAACCCACTGTATGTCTTAATGGGAAGAAAGTGTATCAAAACAAGAAATTCACAGATATTTCTGTTAACAACTGAAAATAATACTCATGTGGGAAAAGATAAAAGCACACATATGCAAAACACAAAACAAGCTATCACTCATTTCTCAAAAACATTTCATTAAGAAATCATTTAGAGTACAAAATCTTCAGGCACTTTAATATGTAGGTCAGTAGCTACTCCTGTATGTGTCTAAGAAATCTACCTGATCAGCAGTTTCTTTGAGAGGGTCATCAACTGTTGCCCTTGAAGTATTTTCTTTTCGTCATTTTCTGATTGCCTGTGGCAGGGTAATATATACTATACCATGCTAAGAAATAAGGGAAGGCCAGGCACAGTGGCTCATGTCTGCAATTGCAGCACTTTGGAAGGCCAAGGTGGGAGGGTGACTTGAGGCCTGGAGTTTGAGGCCAGCCTGGGAAACAGAACGAGACCTCGATTCTACTAAAAATTTAAAAATTTTTTAAAAATAGCCAGGCATGGTGGTGTGCACCTGTATTCCCAGCTACTTGGGAGGCTGAGGTGGGAGAATCACTTGAGCCCAGGAAGTCAAGGCTGCAATAAGTTGTGATCATGCCACTGCACTCCAGCCTGGGCAACAGACCAAGATCCTGCCAGAAGGATGGAAGGAAGGAAGGAAGGAAGGGAGGGAGGGAGGGAGGGAGGGAGGGGAGGGGAGGGGAGGGGAGGGAAATGTGAAGAAGACTTTGCCGTATTTTTTCCTTGTTTGAATCAATATATTGATTGGTTCACAATTTTGAATATTAAAGGAGTAGTAATTATTCCAGCATTTAAATTGTCATGTTTCTTGCATCCTTTTGCCAAAACAATTTTGAGTATACCAGGGGAAAAAATGTGATGTCCCATTAATTATTTTAAAAAATTATCTAGTGCCTCCTCTTTCACCAAGTCTTGAATATAATTACATTCTAATCTAACTGTTTCACAGAAAGGGAGTAGTCAACCAATGAAATACCCCAATTGTTGTGTACAAAATGCAGCAATCCAACTCGACAAGCCTTTAGAGTAAGGGGAGAGGCTATGGAGTATACTATGGAAATAAAATGATGCTGAATAATGTAAGGCAGATTTTATTAAGATAACACTATATTTCATTCTAAGCTTCTTGAGAGCAAGAAGTACCTTTAATTAATTATTGATGAGCAATTCTCTCTTTAACTCTCCCTGGGTAGACAGGATATAGATAGCGTATGTGTTTGCAGTTCTTCCTCTGGGTTGTCAGATAGCTGTTCCTGTAGACTGTGACCAATGGCAGGCAATTCGCCAGGCTTGGCTTGCTCACAGTCTAATATTTCTCGTCCCATTGCACCACTCTGTGTCTCAGCATTACCCCTTTGGCCCAGTGGGATGCTAGGAGCTGACAGTGGTACAGCCCCCATTTCAGTCACTGAAGAGACTAGCCCTACCAGCCCACAGCAATAGAATGCTGCTAACCATATATCTGCATGTCAAAAGTTGGAGGGATATTTTTTATATTGGCTCCCAGCTTCCCGATTTGGAACCACTTTCTGCTAGGAGCTAAGTTGCTGCATGCCAAGGGTAGAGGAAAGAAGACAAATGAAGACAATGAGTGGACAGGGCAATGTGGGTGAAGTATTCAGGAAGGAGGAAGAGGAAAAGAAGAAAGCAAAAAAGGAGAAAGTAAGCAGATGGTGAGTTCTTAGAAAATTGACAAAGATGCTTATGATTAGGCCCCAATGGGCCTGCCTGATATCCATTACTGACTAGTCCAACACATCATGAGGGTTCAAACCAGAGGGGAGCCACATCCAAGCACTCTGCAGAATCTCAAAAATTCACTCTCCCCCATACTCTCACTTTTACCTAGAGCCTAATCACTCTATAGCCACTATTAAGGCTCTCATTGACATAATTATGGCACAAAAGCCAAGCCCATCAGCATGCTAAATAAATTATGCCATTGAGATTTTAAAACTTGCTCAGATTTTTCAGTCTCCTTACTAAAAATGTTCTTTCTTGAAACAAAGAGTTTCTTCTTATCCTTTAAGGATAAGGAAAAGCCAGTTACTCAATACAAAATATTATATTGAAAATTTTGAATAACTTTGAAAGACAAATAAATAAATAATTGTTTTAGCTTAAGTCTAAAGGCTACAAACCTAGGGTTCCATTCACGGTTGTATACCTGCGATGAAATGCCGTCAACCCAACATAAGTATAAGTTCCTCCTCTATACACTGGGACTAGTACAACTCATGTCACAGATCGTTTCATTAGAAACACAAGGTTCTACCCATAACGTAGCATGACTTCAACTTCATTTGCCTATGTTTACCCCATAGGCTTACCTTAGAAAAAAAATGAGTTGAATACATTAATTCATGTAGATCTTTATACTTTTCCAAGTGTTTTCTTCAGCATTATCTAATTCTCAAAATCATGGTAGGGAAGTAAAACAAGTACTGTATTATTAAACATAATTTACAATGAAGAAACCAAGACCAAGCAGATAAATGGCTCTGCTGCAAACCACTTGTCTAGCTACTGGCCAAGGTATGATGACAACATACCCCTCACTCCTACCTCAGTGATCTTGTTTTTCTGGGCTCTATGATTCATTACATATCAAGAAATAACCTACATGGAATCAGTAATAACTTATAATTGAGCAAAAAGAAACTGAGCAAAATATTACATCAATATTTTCTAGTTTGATGAGAAATAATAATAATTAAAATATATTGTGATTAAAAATTTAAACAGCCAATGACAAGGTAATTGCAATTGAAAAAAAAACTCACAGGTATTCATAAAAAATACAAAACCCACATAATATGTACTGAGCCAGCGTCTTCTTGCTTTATTCTACTTTATCTTTTGGAAGGTGGTATTCTCAGCTACAAATCAAAGACTTAGTTCTATTACCAACTCCTGTCTCCCGTCAGAGTGAATTTCTTTCTGTTTGATAATAAATGGAAAGCTACAGAAGTACCCGCAAATAAACTAACGCACGCATTAATTCCCCACCAGGGATTCTTGAATGGTTCGGGATTTGATATAACTAAATTAAACTATACTCCCAAAATAAGGATATTTCTCAAGATTCTATTTCTGTACATAGTTTGTACTCCCACCAGAGCTTTGAGCCCCAGACAGTTCCGTGTGAATTCGTTGGGAATCTCTGCTACCCAACACAATGCCACACAGAAACCTGTATGAACAGAGCGACTGGAACAGTTACCCCTACAGATGCATCGAAAGGCACCCACGCATCCAAACAAAAAAGAACACAAAACCCATTCCCTATACAATTTTTTAAGGTGTCAGCTCGTCAACCATTTCAAGTTACTTAAGTAGAAAAAGTCCCTTTCACATCACAGTTGAGTCAGAGGTGCCAGAGGTACCCCCATTTTCACGTCAACCCAGGTCCTCATCCTAAAACGTCAAC
This sequence comes from Homo sapiens, assembly GCF_000001405.40. NCBI lineage: Eukaryota > Metazoa > Chordata > Mammalia > Primates > Hominidae > Homo > Homo sapiens. The sequence goes on along the minus strand of NC_000006.12, from coordinate 117,908,641 downwards.
GTCCTGAATCCACTACGCAGATTCCAGCACTGGAGGCGCCGGCGATCGGCACCCGCCCCCTCCGGCATGGGCGCTTCGGAATAACTGGGCGCCGCCGGCTCACACCCTGCCCGCAATGTTTTGCACTTTGCTGGGTCTGTTCCAGGCCTCTAGCCCTCTCTTCGCTGCTCCCAGCCAGGAAGAGTCCGAGAGGCGACTGGAGCGTCAGGCTGGAGAAGTGGGTTCCCTCCGCCTGCTAGGCTGTCGCTGCGACCCCATTCCCCCGGCAAGGGGTCGAAGCCCCCGGGCGGGGCGGGGCGGAGGACAGCACGAGGCCCAGGACTTCCACGCCATCTCTGCAGCCCCGCGCCTCCCTCCTCAGCCCTGGCCGGGTCCCCGCGTCCCCCCGACCCCCGATCGCAAAGCCGGGGTGCGAGAGGGAAAGGGAAGTGAGGCGGCACGCGTATGGAGGGTGTGAGTGCGGACACACATACAGGGTGGCTAGGTACGAAAAACCCCGCCTCTCCCCGAACTCCCGCCTCGGACCAGCTGCAGCTCCACCACTCCAGGGCTCCCTGCGCCGGGACAAAGCTGCCGCGGCCTCTCTGCGCCCGCGGAGCGCGTCGTCGCCCGATCTCCTCAGTCTCCTCCGGCCGCAACCCCGTCCCAAAGGACCCGTGGGCCGCCCCAGGGACGGAGGGGACCCGGAGCCGGGCGCCCGCAGCCCCCGCCCCCCGCGCCCTCGCCCGGCGCCGCCGCTCACCTGTTCAGCACTTTGCGGATCCTCTGGCGCACGCCAGCCCGGGAGGAGGCGGACAGGCTCCCGCCGCCGCCGCTGCCCTCGGCCGGCAGGTTCTCGATGGTGGTCACCACATGGTTCGGCGGGGCTGGCGACGGCGGCTGCAGCTGCTGCTGCGGCTGCTCAGGGGGGATCATCGCGGCAGAGGCTGAGGCGCGGCGGCGATCAGAACGCAGCCGGGTGCATCGTGTGCCGGTTCCGGGCCCGGGAACGCGCAGAGGACCCGGCCGGGCGGCCGCGGCCCGGGAGGCGGTGCTGCCTGCGAAGCGGTGAGGCGGGGAGGCACCCGCGGCTACGGCCGCCGCCGCCCAGCCCGCCACTCACTCCTCTCCAGTCCCAGTGCGCGCACCCTCGCGCCCGTGCCGCCGCCGCCGCCGCCCGCCCCGGCTCTTCCCGAGCCGCGTCCCCAAGTCCTGGCCCGCCCCGCGAAGTGGCTGCGAAGGGTGTCGCGCGGGGGCGCGGAGCTGCCGGTCGGTTCCGGGGAAGGAGTCCTGATTTCTCCTTGTTTCCTCGTGCCCGGGTCTCCTCGGGGCGCGCGGCGGCAGTTGTGCTGGCGCCGCCTCAGCCTGTGCCCCGCTCGGTCGGAAAGCTACCGTCTGTGTCTCACGGAGTGAGAGACCGAGGGTGAACCCGGAGAGCCGGGCGGGGGCGCCGGCGGCGGCGGCGGCGGCGGCGGCGGCGGCGGCAGAGCGGGGCGCGGGCGGGGGACCTGCGCGCTCTCCTCTCGCCAGAGGGCGCTGCCGAGGTGCCTTGTTGCCCCCGACCCTCTACTGCCCCGTCCGCAGAGGCCCACGGTCTAGGTTGTGGTGATTGTTTTGGTTTGGGTGTTTTTTAGGGGGATAAGGGGGCTGGGAATAGATCCTCCCTGTGGAGTTGGCGGGGATTCCTCGTTTCTGCCCAAGCGCCGCGGAATCCAGCACCACCGGCCTGGGACAGCGGCAGGACGCCGAGACAGGTGCCGGCCCCGGATTAGAAACCCAAACGGAGAATCCTAGATGTTGCTCCTACTACATTCGCCATAATTGGCCTGGTGGAAATGGGAGAAAAAACTACTTCTCACAAAGAATCAATTCTGGGAACTGGAAAAAGCATATCAGACCAACTCAAAACGTCTCCATTTGAGGCAATGTAGTGCTGTGAAAGGAACGTAGGCAGATTTGAGTTTCAGTGGCACATCTGAAACTTATCCGCAGAGACTCTAAGCAATTAAATTCTGAGACATTCTTCTCTGTGCAGCGAGACTACTCATGTCTTTCTCCCAGGGGAGTTGTAAGACTTAAATGAGGTAAACCACGCAGCAGGGGAGCCTAACAGCTCCTTTAATAGTCCCCCAACTCCAAAAGGGAAAGTCCTGTGTATCTGCCACAGAAATCTTGGACCATATTTCTACCAATGGAAACTGACTCTCTGTCCCGGGCATTCTTATACCAATTGATCCGGATCCCAATTAATAATCGATTCTTGAAAGAGAGATATTTTTCAAATTTTCCTTTATTTAGACTGTTTAGATAGGGATCTTGCCTTGAAAAATGATATGCATTTTAAAAAACTCTTCGCTTCAGTGCAGGGAATTGAGTAAGTTTAACAGGTAAGTTTGTTCACACAAAGGCATGCTGATACCACTACTGAATCCAAATGCTCTGAAACCAGCAAATTAAAAATACCAGTGATAGGATTTGCCACTGAGAGAGGGAATTGGGGAGAAAATAACACTCAAAAAAGGAATGGACTATGTCCTTTCAACAGAGGAGAAAAGGAATATGGAAGGATATAAATAAGATGGGATTCTTTGTTCAGTTAACAAGGTCCAATTCCTTTAACAAAATTCGGAGTCTTTTTTTAATCATCAAAAATATGAGAAAACGGGTATTTGCAAAATCTCTTCAATCTATATTTCAATTCTGTAAAACCTACTTGCTACCTGAAATATCCCTGAGGTTTCTTTCTACAGAAATTAACCCCAATTGGAACATTTTCCCTTTTATAATTAAAATGTCGTCCTGTTCTTTCTCAACAACCTTTCATTCTCTGATTTTTCCACCTCAGATTTGCACAGGACACTCTGAAGAATTATTACAAACAGGACCAAGGCTTGTAGCCTCTTGGGCATTAAAATTCCAATAGTGGCAATAAATTTACCCTTAGTGGACCCACCGAATGTAGCAGACATGAATAAAATGCACTTCAGCTGAACCTGGCAGCAAATCGTGGTAGAAGTCTCTCTATTAAAACAACATTTATGGTAATTTCAGGTGTCTGCCTTGAATAACTGGTTGCTTCAGTGCCCTCTTCCTTCACATTTGGCTTGCCTCCCTTTGAATGTTTTTGGCACATCACGACTCAGTGCTGTGTCTGCACTTCAATGTCTGCATTTGCATCTGGTCATTTCTCTAGAGGGACTACTAAATCCAAATGCTCTACATCTCCTCTGAGTCAGGAAGGGAGAAAACCAAGATGAAAGAACAACAAGATGAGAGATGTAAAATTTCGATCTTGTTGGTAAGACCTCAATGCAGACTCAAGCCTTATGCTTTTGTTACTCCATTTCTGGGGGAATACAGCATCAGATCCCTTCTTATCCTCTGATTCTGTACTCCATGCTCATTTCTTAGAAAGTAGCTAACCGCCAAGTGTGTTGGTGTGTGCCTGTAGTCCCAGCTACTCTTAATGCTAAGACAGGAGGATGGCTTGAGCCCAGGAGGTAGAGGCCAGCTTGGGCAACATAGCAAGACACCATCTCTAAAAGAAAAAAATATTTAAGTAGCTAGATAACATTTGTGAAGTAAGTAAACAGGAGTCAAATGTCCAAGTGTCATAATGGTGTGTCTGACATGAAATTAAACATAAAAGATGTAGAAAAGGGCTGCTTCCCTTTTTCCTGCTGCAAGACTTTTGTCCATCCCTGACCTCAAAATCAGTTCACGAGCTCTGACCAAAAGGAAGGGAGATGAAGGCAATGGGCTAAGGATCTGTATGTAGTTTTCAGTGGTGGCATGTGGGTTCCAGGGACATGCCTACTTCTCAGTTTACCTCCTCTTTGTCAGCTGTGGTTAGTGGTATGATGCTATTGCAGAATTTCCATGCCACAAAAAATTCTGCCTCTCTTACCATTATATCACCCGAATTTCTCTTCAGGCACAGACTAGTTCTGTTGAATTCCTTAAGGAAGCAGAAGTTGGCTATCAGCTATACCTTCTTTAGTGTTTCTCATTTTGAAGACATGTCCACTGATGTGGGGAAGAGTGAAGTTTGGCCTATGTCAGAGTCACCAGGCACTGACTAATCTGTTTAGCATAGACTGCACCTGTGCACGTTATTGAGAAAAAAGCTTCACAGTCATGCACCAGAGGTAACTGATGATCCTCCCCAAATTGCTGAACAACTATCTGGAATTGCTTGTGCTGCTGCAAATGACCAGTGGCCATATGCTTTCCCCGTATCATTCTTTTAATCTTTTTCTTTATCTCCTAAGTCAGATTGAATCTTCTCAACATGTAGTACTGAATCTATGGCCTCCAGAATGATAGAGCTTTGTGGTTTTGATTCACATAATAGAACTTGAATGGGAGAGAAAGCCAGGCAAAACTGGTGAAAAATTTGTGGAGAGGGGAAATGGCAGAGGAGTAGAATGGGTAAATCAATTTACATCCAAGAAATGGATACAATAATTGGCATGTTAAAGCACAGAACTTCAGTGAACAATCATCATCAATGAAGATAGTCTATAAATGGTATTAGTGGATATGAAAATATGCACAGAGCAGGGAAACAGACACTAGGCAACAGATATCAAAGACTGTTCACACATTCTACACGATGTTTCTGTTTATGTAATTTTTTTGTTTTGCATTTTGGAAACTTATTCCTTTGGAGTAAACCCAGAATACTGTGTAGGTTTATAATTGACCTTTTTGCTAAGAGAGATGGAGGATTAGAGATTAGTGCTGTTAGTTGTGGATAAGGGCTAATTTTGCAGAGTCAGACTACATTTTGATGAGTTTAAAATTTCTAAGTATTATTTGCAGAGTATTCCATGTCCAAAAGCCTGGTTTGGTATGTCTTTGTCATGGTGACATGGTAAGTCTCTGTTGACAGGAAGTTTGCCACATTCAGTGAAGGAATTATTCAGTAGTATCAATTTCCTCTAAATGAGTAGGATTATCTTAATATCCTAAGATATTAGGAAAAAATTCTATAGATGATGATATCTCAGAAGCGCTTACTATTTTACATACAATCAGTTATCAAATATCTGAATAAGGGAGAAAGATCCTTATACAAACATCAATTATTTCAGCCAGTGACTTCAATATTCTCTCCTTCTAAATATTTTAATACATAAAAATACTGATGGAAAATTGTGGGTAAAATTGTAATGACTTTTGTGTGGAATTTATACACTGAGTTATTAGGGCTAGGTAGGTGGAACTTGGAGCCCAAGTAATCTCAGTTCCAATTCCAGCTCCATTAACAAACTGGGTTAATTTTAGGCAATTATCTCAGATTTTCTGAGCATAAGTTTCCTAATCTTTAAAAATGGGGATAAGGGCCGGGCGCGGTGGCTCACACCTGTAATCCCAGCACTTTGGGAGGCCGAGGCGGGCGGATCACAAGGTCAGGAGATCGAGACCATCCCGGCTAAAACGGTGAAACCCCGTCTCTACTAAAAATACAAAAAAATTAGCCGGGCGTAGTGGCGGGTGCCTGTAGTCCCAGCTACTTGGGAGGCTGAGGCAGGAGAATGGCGTGAACCCGGGAGGCGGAGCTTGCAGTGAGCCGAGATCCCGCCACTGCACTCCAGCCTGGGCGACAGAGCGAGACTCCGTCTCAAAAAAAAAAAAAAAAAAAAAATGGGGATAAGGTATATACCTTTCAAAACACATAAACATTAGAAATTATGATTTTATATATTATAATATATAAATATATATAATTTCTAATATTTATAATTTTATAAATATATAAAACATGATTACATCTATGATTTTATAATATATAAAATCATATATAAAATTTCTAATGTTTATAATTTTATAAACATAAAACATGGTTATATTTTTATGATATGTATTATATAAAATCATGTTTATAATTTCTAATGTTTATAATTTCTAATATATATAGCAAGAGAGAGAATATCTGGCATAAAAACTATTTTTAAAAACGAATTGATCTGGACCTGGTCATGATAGAGTGGCTGTTATTGGAATTAACTTTCCCATGTGAACAATTCAATTCTAAAAGCTGGATAAAATATTGGACAGGAGTCAATATAAGACTATGATTCTTTGGGGAACAGAAACACATCAGAAATGAAGCACATTAGATGAGCCCATGTTCATCCCAGCTTTCACCCTATGGGCATTTTCCAGATGACAGTGTAGAGAAACAGTGCCCAATCAGAGTGGCAGTCTCACTGGGTAAAAGGGACAGAGATGGGAATTCAGAGCTGCAAAGGCAACTGGAATTTGGTGGGCAGAGTTCCAAAAAGGAGGGACCTAAAAGAAGGACCTTAAAAACACTGTGTGAAAATTCCCCTCAGAGCCAACTTTTATGCTATATATGTGCAGCACAAGAGTCTGGGAGATCAAGCAAAGAAAGCTGCTCAGAAGCTAGAGGGCTGAAAAGAGATTTCAGAGGCAGCATAGTGCTGAAAGGAATATAGGTTGGCATTCAGGCACAGTGATTGTAGAGAATACTTGGTGAGTCCCCAGACTTTTGTAGAAACTCTTAAAAAGGCCATACCCTAAGTATAAGAACCATGTAATAAGGGCTATGCCCTAAGACTAAAGACAAAACAATAGACCTTCCCTAACAGAGCCTAAAACCAAATCTCAACCTGATAAAGGTGATCCACTGACAAATTGATTGCCTTCCAGATTAAAGCTTAATGCTCTCTTGAAAAAGATGCCATCATCCAAAATCTCTATACTGTAAATTGATAATATCAAGCAATTAATCAGAAATTACTGCAGATGCAAAGAAGCAGGGAAAAGGTTACAGATAATCTATAGTACAGGTTAACAAATGTTTTCTGTAAAAGGCTAAGTAATAAATATTCTTGGCTTTGGAGGCATTAGTTTCTCTCATAATTATTCTGTTGCAACTTCTCTGCTGTTGCATGTGAATGTAGCCATAGACAATAGGTAAATGAATGTGGCTGTGTTTCAGTAAAACTTTATTATAAATAATAATCTATAAGATGAACACTGAAATTTGAGTTTCATATAGTTTTCACAATTCAAGAATTTTTTTTTTATTTTTTAACTAGTTAAAAATGTAAAAACCATTTTAGACTTGGGAGTTATATAAAAGCAGACCAATATTCATAAATATAGATGCAGAAATCCTTAACAAAATATTAGTGCATGAATTCCAACAACATATTAAAAAAATTACATACCATGACCAAGTAGGATTTATCCTAGGAATGAAAGGTTAATTTAACATCTGAAAATCAACTAATGTAATATACCACATTAATAGAATAAGGAACAAAATCTTCATGAGCATTTCACAAAATTTAACATTCATGCTTGATAAAATATCTCAAAAACTTGTAAGAGATGAAAATTATTTGAATCTGAAAGAACATTTACAAAAAACTTACAATGAAAATTATATTTAATATTTAAAGACTAAATGCCCTTCAAGATCAGAAAAAAGTCAAAAATATCTACTCCCACCACTTCTACTCAACAGTAGAAGGATAGGAGGATATAGCCAGTTCAATAAGCAAGAAAAATAAATAAAAGAGATTCAGAAAGAAAAGGAAAAGGTAAACCTATCTCTCTTCACAGATAAAAAGATCTTTTATGTATAATATACTAAGAAATTCACAAAAACACCATTTAGAATTAATGACAAATGCAGCAAGGTTTCAGGATATAAGATCAATATACAAATATCAGTTGTATTTTTTTTCTAGTAATGCACAATCTGCAAATGAAATTAAATAATTATATTTACAATAACATCAAAAAGAATAAGATACTTAGAAATAAATGTAATAAAAGCAGTGCCAGACTTTTACATAAAAAGTCACAAAGTATTATTGCAATAAATGAAAGAATCTAATGAAATGGAAAGACATCCCATGTTCATGAATGAGAAAACATAATTTTATTAAGATGACAATACTGCTCATTGATCTACGGATCCCATACAATCCCTATAAAAATCTCAGCAGGTTTTTTTGCAGAAACTGATAAACTGGAAGTATATTTAGACATCTGGCAGAGAATTTGCAATTTAATGACAAGCGAAAAATTTCAGAAAATGATAATAATTAACTGTAATGATAACCAAGAGTTTTTTGGGCAGGAGATGAAAAGTAGTTCACTAATTGTCAAAGCTTTAAATAGCGTTTGCTGAGCTATAACAACATAGACACTGAATTTTGATCTAGATAACTATATTTGACTGATGACAGGACAAAATGATGCATAGGTATATTTGGAGTTAGGAAAAATGAAAGCTAAATTGACAGCTTTCATAGTGAGAAAACACTAGAAGAATCAACTAAGAGAATGCAAAGTGATTGCCTCCAGTGATGGGGAAAATGGTGGAAAAGGAGGAGGAGCACTACTGTTTTACATAACAAACCTTGTAGAATTATCTGACTCTTTAAGCCATTTCTAGATATAACTTTGAAAACAAAATTTAATTACAAAAAAGGAAAATACATAAGTGTAACCTTGATACATATTTTTGTTTCTGTTGAGTTCTTGGTGTTATCAAGGCACCTTCCTGAGGAGCTTGCAGCTAAGGGAGAAAATTGGAGGTTGATGCCAAGAGCTGGAATAGTTTCTTATTTAGGCTAACAAAGAAGTTTCACAGAAAATCTGCAAACAAGTTCATTAATTTGCCAATTATTCTTTCATTCTGTAGAGATGTCTACTTTTTCTTTGTTGATAAATGTTCGATTTCCCAATAGATTAATTTAGCTGCAATTCAACAAATATTTTCTTGTCTTTTAAGTAGATATGAAATGATAGAATATTATAAAAACAAGAAGCCATTATTTTCTAGCTAATATTCTTTATCAACAAGGTAGGGAAAGATAGAAAGATAGTAAACTTCTTTTTCACTTTACAAATCAAAAGTTAAACATGGTTGAGTTTATTCATTCAGTTGGTTGTAGTAGATTTTCCTTTTCCATTTAGGCTTATTCAAGGCTGTTTAAAGTCAATTGGAATAAAGTATCACATATTGGATATCTTTCAATATCATATTGTAGAACATTAAAAAGCTGAATAGTCTACCTCCAACCCAGTAATAATTTCTCATGCATTTCTAAACTCTTTTTATTTTTAAACCATTTATACTGATTCTTCCTGGTAAGTATACAAAAATATATTTGTGTTATTTTTGTTTACCTGGAAACCCAAATGAGCTCCTAATTTTGTGCCTAACTCCAGTTTCTTATTTTCGGACTCAGACTTAAACATTCCATATTCTCTACTTGATGATAAACTTCATAGAAGCCAGAAACCTTTCTGAAGGCCAATCTTTCCCATGTCAAGTTCAGTTAGAGCTGAGCTTTAACAAAGTCAGAAGACCCTGTGAGGATTACTAATCACCTGTGTGTTGATACAGTCCTAAAATAATACTTGTGTCACCTAGCACTGAGGTTTTCCTTGGCTCCAGTGATTTTCTTTCAACTCGTCTTTCACTTCCAGGGTCCTTATCTCAAAAACTGAATGCCCTCTGATACATGGATAAAAAAACCATCATATTCTCTAACCACTATGTCTAGTATCTTCACCTTAGCATTCCACTGACCTCATCAATACTTCCTCTCAAATTCTCAACACCATCCCTACCAAATTTAGATTCAATGAGCCTCTATTCCAACATCCTTTTTCAAATTACCTTAATTTCTTTCATCTACATCAGCGGTCCCCAACTTTTTTGGCGTTTCATGGAAGACAATTTCTCCATGGACAGGGGTGGGCGGGTAGGGGGATGGCTTGGGGATGAAACTGTTCCACCTCAGATCATCAGACATTAGTTAGATTCTCATAAGGCACATGCAACTTAGATCCCTCACATATGCAGTTCACAATAGGGCTCACCTCCTAACCTGACAGGAGGCGGAGCTCACACGGTAATGCTCATTCGCCCACTGTTCACCTCCTGCCTTTTGGCCAGTTCCTAACAGGCCATGGATTGGTATAGGTCCAAGTTCCAGTGGATGGGGACCCCTGATCTACATGACAAAATGCTACCTGGCTTAATTGCTTATCCATTTGTCTATTCTATGCATGTACCTAGCAGCTGGATGTTGCTAAAGGAGAACACAAAAGCCTACTGAATGATCTCTTTATTTTCATGGCCCGCAAAACTCAAATACATATGCATTACTTTCCAAAAATGATATTAATGTTTCTTTACATATTTGGTCTCCCTCTCTCTACACGTTCTCCTCTCTCTGCCAAGCTGCTTCAGAGTCTTTTCCACCATCAGTTTTAGGATTTTTTTTTTATTCTTTGTTGAAAATAGAAACAATCAGACAGAAGCTGCTTTGTCTTCCTGCCACTAAAACTACCTGCATCTGTAGTCATACTCTTTACCTTTCCTCCAGATACAATGAGGGAAATATCTCTCAAAGGCTGACTGTATTAGTCAGGGTTCTAAGGAAAAACAGAACCAGTAAGATATATAAGAGAGAGGAAAAGATGTATTTTAAAGAATTAGCTCATCCAATCATGGAGGTTGGTAAATCCAAAATCTGCAAGGTGGGCCAGCAGGCTGGAGATCAGGGAAGAGATGATGTTGCAGTTCAGGTCCAAAGACCAACTGCTGGCAGAACTCCCTTTTGCTCTTTTGTCTGTTCAGGCTACCAACTAACTGAAGGAGGCTCACCCACATTGTGGAGAGCAATCTTCTCTACTCAAAGTCCACCCATTTAAATGTTAGTATCATCTAAAAACACCCTCACAGAAACATCCAAAATAACATTTACCACATACCTGGGCACTGTAGCCTACCCAGGTTGACACAAAAAATTAACTGTCTCACTGACCCTCTACTTGCTTACTCTAAGGCTTCGCCCCTTTAGTTATTCCCAGTCTCTCCTATATATCTAACATTAATATCTCTCATCTCAGAAAATAAGACTTCCTAGGTTCCTGATTGCATTTTCCACACATTCTTCTAAATGCCATCCAGTCTGTTAGCTTGTCTATAGTCACTTTTTCACCTCTCTTTTTTTAACATGTTCCACTACTGCTCTGGTCTCCATTGTGAAAGGGAAATAAATCTCAGGACGCCAGAATCACTAAGCCAAAGGGAAAAGTCAAGCAGGGAACTGCATTGGGCAAAACTCCCTCCCATTCAAGTCCTAAATAAGATAGCCACAAAGATTTTTTTTAAGCTACATACCTTGCTTAGAATTTTCCCATAAGAAAATTCCTTATGAACAAACGACAGACAGAACACAAAGTCATCTCTTTGCTCACATGAGACAAATGCATATCTGATTGATTTCTTTGCCCTATTGTTTCACTAAGCCAGACTAAGGCATAAGAGACTATTCCTGTTAATTGTGTATTCAATGAAAGGCCAATCAGAAACTCAAAATAATGCAACCATTTGTCTATTATCTACCTATCACCTGGCAGCCTCCTCCCTGCTTAGATTCGTCTTACCTTTCCAGACTGAACCAATGTACATCTACATGTATTGATTGATGTCTCATGTCTCCCTAAAATGTGTAAAACCAAGCTGTGCCCCAACCAACTTGGGCACATGTCTTCAGGACCTCCTGAGTCTGTGTCATGGGCACATCCTAAATCTTGGCAAAATGAACTTCCTAAATTGATGGAGACCTGTCTTCAGATACCTTTTGGTTTACACCATCATTCCATTCAACACTTGTGAAGGTCACGAGTGTGTGAGTGACTTCTTTGTTTCTGGTTTTAATACTTAATCCTCTGTATAATTCAATTTATCAGTGTATTCAACCCAGGAATCGTTTCTTTCTTTTTGAAATTTCTTCTTCTCTTGGTTTCAGGACACATTTATCCAGCTTTCCTCCCAATTCACTGGCCTCTCTTTTTTGAGTCTCTTGTCCAGCTCTGCTTTCTCTGTTCTTCCTCCAATGGTTGGAGAACTTTGGGGCTCTTTCCTAGGATCCCTGTTCTTTTTAATGTATACATGCTGTATTAGTCCATTTTGCATTGCTATAAGGGAATACCTGAGGCTGGGTAATGTATAAAGAAAAGGGGTTTATTTGGCTCTGTCCTGCAGGCTTTATAAGCATGGCAACTGCATCCGCTCAGCTTCTGCTGAGGCCTCAGGAAGCTTTTATTCATGGCAGAAGGCAGAGGGAGAGCAGGTATGTCACATGGAGGGATAGCAGGGAGAGGGAGGGGAGGAGTTCCAGGATCTTTTTAACAACCAGCTCTTATATGAACTAATAGAGTGAGAATTCACTCACTACTGTGAGGACGGCATCAAGACATTGATGAAGGAAATGCCCTCATGACCCAAATACCTCCCAGTAGGCCCACCTCCAACATTGGAGGTCACCTTTTAACGTGAGATTTGAAGGGGACACACATCCAAACCATATACATGCCTACTGGGTGATCCCTCCAGTCCCATTACCATACGTAAGCCAGTAACTCCAAAATTTATACCTCCTGCTCCACTTCCTTTCCTGACCTCCAGGCTCATGTATCTAACTACCACCTTGAAATTTCCCCTTGAATTTCTAATATGAATCTCGATTCATCGTCCCCATCTCAGCAAATGGCACTAACATCTATTCAGTTCTCTAACAAACAAACAAAAATATGTAGTAGTGACCTTTCATCCCTCTTTTCATTGCCCCAGCATCCAATCTATCCTCAAGTACTATAGGCACTGCCTCTAAAACTTAACACCTCCTTATCCAGTGCATAAAACATGCTTTGCACATGGCCCTTGCTCAGAAAGTTTGCTTTAATGAATTGAATGAATAACTCTCAAATTGTCTTCAGCCTGGTATTTTACTCTGGCTTCTAGATATATACAGTGAACTCAGAGTCTTCACTTAGATGTTTTAAATCTTCCACTGAATATGTCCAAGACAAAATTTATAATTTTATTCTCAATCCAAACTGATGCTCACCAACCTTCCCCCCAAATGCACAAACTTGAAATTTAACTATTATCCCTTATACACTTTTTTCACTCTTTTCCAAATTTAATCCACCAGTGAGTCCTGTCCATTTGGCCTTCTACATATTTCCAGAATCCAATCATTTCTCTATCATCACTGCCACTGCTTTAGTCCAAGCTACATCATCTCTTGTTTGGGCCACTGCAGTAGTCCCTAAATCGTTCCCCTTGTATCCATTCTGGCCCAGTCCCAAAATTCTCTCCATCCTGCAATCAAAATAATCTTTTCAAAGTGACAATGTTATCATGCCACCCTCCTGCTTAAAACTCTTCTGTATTTTTCATATCCTTCTCAAATCTTACAAGGCTATCTTCAGTTCCTTCTTGTCTCTCCCCTACCTGGTTTCATCCCATTCCAGTTTCCTACTTTTTCCTTTGCGTCAGCCACATTGGCTTTCTGTCAGTTCCTCGAAATTGGAGGGCTGTCTCTTATCTCACAGTCTTTGTATATGCTGCCCCACTGCCTGGAATATTTGTCATTTCTTCCACTCATTCCAACCATCCCCCAGCTATGCTTAGAAATTTTTTATCTTTCATTCATATTTAAGCTCAGATTTTATTTCCTCAAGCTGTCTCTGATCCTCATTCAGAATAGATTATGTTCCTTTGTTATAGAGAAATAAGTTCATTTTCTTCATCACCATTTTACTGCCCATTCAGTTTTAAATTTGTATGATTATTTGAGTAGTGACTGCTTTCCCCACTAAACAGTAAGCTCCGTAAGAGTAGGGAACGGGTTTGCTCACATTGTATGTCCAGCACTATCAAGTGCCTGGCACATAGTAGTTTCACAGTAAACTTTCATTAAATACATGAATAAATTATGGAGGAATGGACTCCACTATTCATTCAAACTCTACTGTGAACATGCCCTTCCTCACGACCTTCTCACTAAGATCTGGCCCTCCCCAAACATCCCAACTTCTCCTGAATCTTCCTCAACTTGGGTTTGCTTATTTAATACTTCCTCACAGGTATGGGGAGTAAGAAGTCAGCTTTGTTACTTCCCAGTGCTGCTTCCAAACTTTTTTTACATTTTTTTTACATGCTATCTAACTGACTCGCCCTTATCTGCTCATCTTCATAGGCATTAACTGACCTTCTCATCACTCTGCTTCACTTGATTTCCTTTTGCCTTTCACCTTGGACTTGCGATTATCCTACACTATTTCCAGGTTCATGTAGATTACTCATCAGCACCCAGGTGCTTTACTTTTATATCTGATGGGATTTTCACCTCCAATTTAAAAACTCACTCCCATGGCCAAACCCTGGACCTTATTATAACGCAGAATTGTTCCTTGTCTGAAATGGCCTCCAGCCCTAAGGGTGGCCTCAATGTAGTCCATTTATCTTCTTGTGTTTCACTGGCAGCTATTTTAAACCTTTCCACCCTCATGATCTCTGGCAGTATATCTCCATTCCATGACTGTGACCACCACCTCCGTCACCTCCACCATCCCACCACCTCCTCCCTCTACTCAGCAGGTACTTGCCTCCTACTCCACGGGGAAAATAGAAGCCATTGAAGAGAATTCCCTCAGCTTCCTACAACCAAACCTACAATTTTACCTCTTTTGTAGCTGCTCATTTTTTATAGTGGATGAAGTGTCCCTCAGCCTTCCTGAGGCTACTCTCCTCACCCATGCTCTGGACCCTATGTTCTCCTGCCTTCTCAGAGACCTTGGTCAATCAAGCACCCCTGCCTGTACTATAATTTTAACTTCTCCACTGTACAGTCTCCTAACCATACACATTTAGACATGTTCAAATCTCCACTTTCTTAAAAATTCAACAATGCTTCCTCTGAGTTTATGTCAGAGGAATGCCTTTTACTTAAGGGTATTTTCTCTTCTCAACAATGAAACTCCCTGACGATGTTGTCTACATTTCCTTGCTCCTTTTCCCAACCTCACTGCTATGCTGCCATACTTCTACCCACGCTGCTCCCACACACCACACCTTAGATATTGTTTTTTCTAAAGTTACTGATGACCTGAATCTATAGACACTTTGCTGCATTTTCTGTAATGTATAAAACATATGACACAGCTGACCCTCTTGAAATTTTCTTCCCTTGGTTTCTGTTCTCTTACTTTTCTTCTTCTGACTGTTCCTTCTCTATTATTTTGCAATAATCTTTTCCTCAGCATGCTTCTTAAATGTGTTCCTCAGCATGCTTCTTAAATGTGTTCTCTTCTCTTTCACTCCACAATCTCTCCTTACAGAGTCTCATCTATTCCTATGGCTTTAATTACCATCTACATGCCAGTGACTTTAAAATCTGTGTGTAGGACAAGCTTGTTTTCCAGAGGTTCTGACTAGAATAAATTACTACTGACTGAATATCTCACTTATTTATTCCCAAGCATCTCAAACTCAAAATGCAAAACCTCAACTCAATAACTTTCTCCTGAAACTTCTTCCTCTGTTCACTAACTCATTGAATGTACCATTTCCCTGTCATCTCCAGCCTCTCATCAAACACCCAAATGTCTCCTGAGTCCGCTCTTTCCTTCTCCCAATGCCTCCTTCATACTACATCCTATTCTGTCTGGCCCTTCCTGCTCCCCTCTAATTCATGCTCCGTATTGATTATACAAGGTACAAATATGACTAGTTGGCTACTTTGCTTGAAACCCTTCAATAGTTTCCAGTATTTCACAAAAGAAAGTCCAAATTCTGCCCTTTGCTTATCACACCTTTTATAATCTGACTCCTATTTATTTTTTCTGTCTTCAAATTTTGCACTATCATGTTTTATGTTCCAGGTATGATAAATTATTTTCATTTCCTTGAATAGGATACACTCTCTTTCACCTCATGGATTTTTGCATTAAACCCCCTTCACGCTCCTTTGCTTAGCTAACAGTTAATTATCTTGAAATAAAGTTTGAGAAAACTCTATGTATCTTACCATCTATTGCAGCATTTTAAGTTTTGCCAAATAGCCTAAACCCTGTGGATTATCATTTCAGTCACTTGCTTACATTTTTTCTTAATCTCCTTTGTCCTCCAGTTACACATATTCCAAAAGTCCCTAGCATCAATAAATTCAAGCCTTCAAATTTTCTTTTCCTTCTTTCAGGCCACAGTGAAATTAGGGGGAAAGAAGAATCCTACAAGCTGCTGCAAAACCACAAAACTTTGCCTCTCGTCAAATCCCTTCTCTTGCCACTTTCTCCTTTCTGGTTCTCCAGGAACAAAATGAACATCATCAGGAGAAAATTTCCTCAAATTCCACTCTACAAATATCTTTCTTTAAATACAATTTTCTATTCTGCATAGTACATGCCATGTCCCCCTCATCTCCCTCCAATCCCTCCAAGGCTAATTTATCACCCAGTGTTTGAATTCCATCTCCACTGGATTGTCTCCTCAACATATGAACATGTTGAAATAACTTCCATCTTTAAAAGTAAAGCAAAACAAAACAAAACCAATACCTCTCTCAATTCCGTGTTCCATCTAAATGCTTGATCAAGGAGTGTTTTATATTCTGTCTATATTTTCTCTCTCACTCTCTCTCTCTCTCTGTGTGTGTGTGTGTGTGTGTGTGTGTGTGTGTGTGTGTGTGTGTGTTTTGAGACAGGGTCTCACTCTGTCACCAAGGCTAGAGTGCAGCGACATGATCACAGCTCACTGCAGCCTTGACCTGCGGGCTCAAGTGATCCTCCCAACTCAGCCTCCCAAGTAGCTGGGACTATAGGCACACATCTCCACACCTGGCTAATTTTTAAATATTTTTTATGGAGATGAGGTTCCCTTGTGTTGCCTAGGCTGGTCTCAAACTTTTGGGTTCAAGAAATCCTCCTGCCTTGGCCTGCCAAAGTCTTCGGATACAGGTATGAGTCACAGCACCAAGCCTATATTTCCATTTTGCTCTATTCACTCTGTAATCTGCTGAAGGACAGCTTTTGCCCCAATACATCACTGAAATGGATTTCATTAAGGTCACCAAAAACTTTCATATCTCTTGCATTTTCCAAAGCCAATTATATTAGAATTCTCCAGAGAAACAGATCCAATAGAATACATACAGAAGAATATAAGAAGAGATTTATTATTGGCTTTATAATTTGATTTATAATTACATTTATAAAGTTATTTACTTGATTATGGAGGCAAAGAAGTTTCATGATCTGCCATCTACAAGCTGGATACCCAGGAAAGCTGGTGGTATAGTTTAGTCTGAGTCCAATGGCATGAGAATCAGGAGAGCAGATGATGGAACTCCCAGTTTGAGGCTGAAGGCCTGAGAATCAGGACCTTGTATGTTCTCACCATTTTGTTTCATTCAGTCCTTCAACAGATTGGATGATGCCCATCCACTTTGGTGAGGATGGATCTTCTTTACAGAGTCTACTGATATAAATATTAACCTCTTACAGAAATCTCTCACAGACACACCCATAAATCACGTTTTACCAGCTATGTGAGCATCCCTTAGCCCAGTAAAGTCAACTCACAAAATTAGCCATCACACCAATTAACTTTTTTTCTGTTCTTATTTTACCTGAATATTCCAGGGAATATTTGATAATGTTGACATTCTTCTCCTGATTGCTCTATTCTTTCTGCTTCTGGAAGAACATCTCCTTTGTTTTCTCCTATCTCCTTGGTTGTCTGTCTCATCTACAGGCTTTCTTCTCTTTCAAATGCCCCTTAACTGTTGGTTTTATCCAGAGCCTCAAACTTGGTCCTCTACTTTCAATGCATGGTCTCTAGGTGATCTTATCCACCTATATGACTTCAGCTGTCACTCGCTACTTCCAATGGCTCTCTCTAATCAACTTTTTAAATTTTTAAAAATCTATTTCTTTTTCTGAACTGTCTGATAATTCTAATCCCTACACTTCCAAACACATATCAGAAACACTATGTCCCAAACTCCTCCCACTCACCTCCTCCTCCTGCTGTGGCACCTGGCATAGTGAATAACATTAATCCCAAATCAGTTGCTCAAACAGAGTGCTGGGAGATGCCCAAACTGTGCCTTCTCAGTTACCCCACAGTCACCATGGCTTAAAGTATTATCTCCTAAAAAAACCCTTCTCATTCACTCCTATCCTATCACATCACTAAGCCTTGTCCAGGTTCTTGTCATGTCTCAGTCTGGTCACTGCAGTGACCTCTGATTTGGGCTCCCACCAAAGTGCTTTGTCAGAAACACAAATCTTACATTGTCACTTTCTTTCTGTTAGTCCTTCAATGGCTCCATCAGCTTACAGGACCAAGTTCAAATTCCATAGCTAAATGGAAGCTCATTCATGATCTGGCCACTTGCCAACCCCTTTCAGCCTCATTTTTCCTATTCCCTAGTGTGCACTTCCTTTGCTCAGAATGCTCAGTTTCCCTACTGTGTAGTGTTGTTTCATGCCTTTGGGCATTCCCACATGTTGCTCATTCTACATATCTCTCCCTCCTTTCCTGATTCAGCTGACATCTATTAGTTGTTTTTAAAAAACCACCTCAGGAATCACCTCCTCCAGGAAGTTTTTCTTGACACCATAGCCTAATTAGATGCCCTTAGCAGTGTAACCACAGCCTTCTCTAAGTGCACCAAACATAACATCAATTTTTCTATGTATTTATCTGAAGGCTATAAGCTCCTTTAGCTAAAGTACCTTGTCTCATGCAGCTTCTTTCCCAGCACTTAGTACGGTACATGGCATGCAATAAGTATCTGTCAAATAACTGACTGACAATGAAGAAACTGACTTAGGGAATTGTCCTACACATTTTCAAAATCAGATAATGTAAAAAAAAAAAAAAAAAAAAGTTGGAACCAGGCCTTATATACTAGACTTCATTTAAGGTTGGAAATAAAAAGCTAAAAGGAGAGGAAATGTCTCCTGAAGAAATATATTGCCTATTCAAGCCAGAATACACTTTTAAAATAGGCCAAGAGATTTCTAGAAAGCAATGCAGTTAACTTTTTATTTAAACAGAAACTGTTCTTTGCTGTCTTGCCTGTTTTTCTAGACATAAGTAAATGACTCATTCATATACAGAGGCTTATTGAAAATGTATTGTATTCAGAGGTTCTTTCTATTTCTCTTATTGTTTGACCTTGATAGTAAATAGCTATGTGATATTTGTAATGCAGCTAACCACACAAAGTGAAAAGGAGAGTTAGCCAATTACTTGGTGAAGGAAATCAGCATAAATAGGCTTCATAATTCAAGCCAAAAAAAGTCTTCATTTTTAAATAAAGCATGGTATTTTAGACTGCATTATTTGAATAAATTAACTCTTTAGTGGCAGAGGTGAAAGTAATTTCAAAAATTCATTGTGTTTTAGCTTTGGAAAGTTTTGTGATTTTTCTTCATATATTTAACATCCTTATTTGTTTTATTTTGGTAAATACTAAGTGTAACTTGCTTCCCAGAGCATTTATTACTATAGTGCAGCCAAAGGCTGTCTGCAAATGTAATGAATGTTGGGGAGTGGGAGTGCTTAAAAATTGACTTTACATAATTAAGTTTAAATTAAAACATGAGTTTGTTTCTTGACAAATATTTCTTAAGCATTTACTATGAACCAGGTACTGTAATTGATTCTAAGATATAAAAGTGGTTAAGACAATGTCTTGCTCTCTCTCTTGCTTCCTCTCTAGCCATGTGTCCTCTGCACATGCCAACTCCTTTTCACCTTCCACAATGAGCTGAAGAATCCTGAGGCCCTCACCAGAGGCAGATGCCCAATCTTGAACTTTCCAGCCACCAGAATTGTGAGCCAAATAAACATTAAAAAAAAATAAATTACCCAGCCCAGATATTCTTTTATAGCAACACAAAACAGACTAAGACTGCCTCATATAGGTAAAATCATGCAGTCTTTTTGTGACTGGCTTATTTTACTTAGCATAATGTTCTTAAGGTTAATCCATGTTATAACATTTATCTGAGTTTCCTTCCTCTTTAAGGCTGGATACTATTCCATTGTATGTATATACCACATTATCTTCATTCATCCATTCATGGACATTTAAGCTCCTTCCACCCCTTGGCTATTGTGGATAATGCTGCTATAAACATGTGTGTGCAAATATCTCTTTGGCATTCTGCCTTTAGTTCTTTTGGATACATACCCAGAAGTGAGATTGCTGGGCCATGTGGCAATTGTCTTTTTAATTTTTTGCAGAACTGCCATGCTGTTTTACATACCAACTGCACCATTTTACATTTCCACCAGCAGTGCTCAAGGGTTCCAGTTTCTCCACATCTTCAGCAACACTTGTTATTTTAGCCCTTTTTTAATAGTAGCCACTTTCGTGGGTGTAAAAGTTATTAAAATAATTTAGACTTCAGTGCCTTTTGCCATACACAATACATAGCAACTACTTTATGAAAGCTTATGGTTGAGATGTATTAAAAATGTATATTTTCATAATGTGTTTGCTTTATAAAGTTGATGTTAGAGATCATTAATGGAGCCTATGATCTGTGCTTTAGGATAAAATAAGACATATCTTAGGGAAAAAAAGACTATCTCTGCTTTGAAGGAATTCTCAATTTGGTGAGCAAAACATCTATAACAACCAACTAAATCATCATATGATAAGTGTTACAAGGGAAGAATAAATAACATACAATGAAAATAGAAAGGTAAGTGTGACTCACTTTGTGAAAGAGTTGAGGAAGAAGAGGTTACAGAGAAAACTTCTTCAAGGGTTTGATTTGACCTTGATAACTGTGGAGAATTTCACCTGGTGGAGAACGAGCGGTTAAGAGCAGAAGGGCACTCCTGACAAGAGTAACCAAATCCACAAAGGCCTGATGGAGAAGCAATGCACACTATGTTTGCAAGGGTGGATAGAGCTCAGGGAATGTGTGGGAAGTGCACGGGATAGAACTGATACAAAAGTTTATTTAACAACTACATTTCCTAGAGTTTAGCTATCTATAAAATAAAGAAATAAATTTTGCTTTATCTGTATACCAATAGTACTACTACTTACTTAACATTGTTTAAAATGACTTTCTAAAATGTAAATGCCTATTTTGGCTTCATGTTAAGCAATAATATTCATGAAATTACACTTTTAAGATGCTAATCACATTTTCCTAATACCCATTAAAATAAAAATAAGTAATATAATTATGTAAATGCTTGGCACTGTGCCACTTAAAATTGTCTCTCATTCCACCAGGAGCATATGCTCCATACTTTGGGAAATACTGCTTTGCATTAATAATGGACATGAAAGAAACACCTTTCACAATCTTTAGTTTTCCAAATATGTGAGGAAGTAGGGAAAATGATTAAATGTTTTAAATGAAGCAATTTTGAAATTTCTGCTAGAAGCAAGCATGTAATGGCTGAAAAATGCTAGGAAACAAGTGGTCAGAGAAAGTTAGCTGAATAAGGTGAGAGGAGAAAGGAATCACATCAGGGTACAGAGGAAAATGCTCTGTTTGAAGACAAGAATTTAGTAGAAAGAGCAGACTGAGAGTTAACCAGAAATTGATTTTTTTTTTCAGCTAAACACTAGAGCTATACTGTCCATTATGTTAGCTAGTAGCCGTATGAGGATATTTAAAATTAAATTTGAGTTAATTAAAATTAAACTTAAATTTCAACTCCTCAGTCTCATTAGCCACATTTCAAGTGCTCAACAGTAATATATGGCTAGTTATTACTCTATTGGACAGAGCACATATAGAATATATCCATTATTGCAGAAAATGTCCTCCAGCTATATTGAGATATAGTTATTAAATATGACATGTATACATTTAAGGTATACAACATGATGTTTTGATACTTGCACACATTTTAAAATGATTACCACTATGAAGCTGATTAACATCACATCACCTGATGTTTGCATATGTGCATGGCAAGAACATTTAAGATCTACTCTTCTAGCAAACTTCAAGTATGCAATACAGCATTATTAACAATAGTCAGTATGCTGTATATTAGGTCTCCAAAACTTATTTATCCTATGTAGCTAAAACTTCATACCTTGATTGACATCTCCCCATTGGACAACATTGTACTAGACTAATAGGATGCTGAGACTTCACATTGTTGAACTACAGGGCTTTAAGGAGAAAACTCCTAAAATTAAATTAAACATACAGGATTAGTTATATTTTATTTACCAGGGCAATTAGAGGACAATGTCTCAATTAGTAGTGGAAACATGGTTTTCCTTAATCAGGAATGATGTCATTATTCTGATAAGAGCTTTTGATGTCCAACTTGAGCATGATTAATAATGAACAATGTAAAATGCTAAGTAATTGGAGAAAATTCAAATTCCCTTATGATATTGCTCAAATTCCCTGATATAGCTTCTTCAGAATGAAAATAACAAAAAAGCTGCAAAAGTATGCCTCTAAGTTAAGGGTCCTACTATTGAAATCTATGGTTCTAGAACTCCAGGTTTCTATTGAGTTATGTCTCAGGCCCAGGCTATCTCCCCAGCAGACAGATTATCCTAGCCTTCATTATGCTTTAAGAATTTCTCAGGCCAGATGCAGTGGCTGATGCCTGTAATCCCAACACCTTGGGAGGCCAAGGTGGGAGGATTACTTGGGACCAGTAGTTCTCAACCAGCCTGGGCAACATAGAAAGACCCCATGTCTACAAAAAAAAAAAAAAAAATTGCCAGGTGTGGTGGCACATGCCTGTAGTCCTAACTACTTTGGGGGCTGAGGCAGAGAGTTCTCTTGAGCCCAGGAGTTTGAGGTTACAGTGAGCTATGATTGAGCCACTGCACTCCATTCTGGGTGATGGAGTCAAACCTTGTCTCTGGAAAAAAAAAAGAAGAAAGAAAGAATTTTTCCCATACATGTACATCCTCTAATATTTTTTTCAGCTTCTGGAATGTAATTTATGTAGAAGCATTTCTTGTGGCCATGTAATCACTTCTTCTGAGTCTGAACTCTACTGTCAGTAAAAATAGAATGATATTAAATTAAATGATATAGCACATAGAAAGTGCTTAGTACAAACAGAAAATGCCAACAAAATGTAATACACGTAGAAATCCTTCTCTATTACACTACAGTTTTCTAGTGGCTTGTAGAGTTGAAATTCAGTATCCCAATCTGTGCGTGCCACTTGACATGTGACAACCTGAGCCTTAATAGTGATCAATCAACCAACAGGAATCAAGTCCTCTGTTCAGGACACCAGAGTCTGTGAGTGACCCACAGACTTCTAACAAAATATAAGGCATGACCTCCACATTCAAAGAACTGAAATATAAGTGAAAATAAAAGTATTTCAAGGGCATTCACTAGTGAGAATAGTGAAATTTGTGGCTGCCATGAATGAGGCTCCAGATAAATGCTGAAAGTCACAGTAAAGTCACTGTCATCTTTGGAAAAAAATGGACCAACAGAGAATGGAAGGCCTCAAGGCAGCAGGAATATTTGACAACTTACTGGTGAGTATTATAATTTATTACCTTCCTAGAAAATTTTGGAACGAAGGTAGGGAGACCAGAATTCCAATATCGGCAATGGTGAGGGCTCAAAGCTTGAGACCATGCCCTCAAATTAGAGAATCACATAATTAATAAATGCAGTGTATAAGTGCAAGTGCTAGTTTGGTTTATATATGCATGTTTATGTCATTTTTTAATAAAGACCCTGAAAAAAACAATTTGAAATATAATGTGTTATATAAAGATGAAGAGAGAACAAAAGTGTTAGAAAATCTATTTAATGAAATAATAGATGAAAACTTAGCAAGTTATAAGAGGCTTTTCCGGCTTTTGCTCAGCGCTTCTCCTTGCTGCCACCATGTGAAGAAGCACGTGTTTGCTTCCCTTTCCACCATGATTGTAAGTTTCCTGAGGTGCTCCCAGCCATGCTGAACTGTGAGTCAATTAAACCTCTTTCCCTTATAAATTACCCAGTCTCAGGCAGTTCTTTATAGCAGTGTGAGAATGGACTAATACAGTAAATTGGTACCAGGTAGTGAGGTGCTGTTGTAAAGATACCAGAAAATGTGGAAGTGACTTTGGAACTGGGTAACAGGCATAGGATGGAACTGTTTGGAGGGCTCAGAAGAAGATAGGAAGATGTGGGAGAGTTTGGAACTTCCTAGAGACTTGGAGGGCTCAGAAGACAGGAAGATGTGGGAAAGTTTGGAACATCCTAGAGACTTGTTGAATGGCTTCGACCAAAATGCTGATATGGGCTGGGCATGGTGGCTCACACCTGTAATCCCAGCAATTTGGGAGGTCAAGGCAGGTGGATCACCTGAGGTCAGGAGTTTGAGACCAGCCTTGCCAACATGGTGAAACCCCTACTAAAAATACTAAAATTAGCCAGGCATAGTGGTACTTGTCTGTAATCCCAGCTACTCGGGAGGCTGAGGCACAAGAATCGCTTGAACCCAGGAGGCAGAGGTTGCAGTGAGCTGAGATTGTGCCACTGCACTCCAGCCTGGGCAACAGAGTGAGCCTCTGTCTCAAAAAAAAAAAAAATGCTGATAATGGACAATAAGGTCCAGGCAAGGTGGTCTCAGATGGAGATGAGGAGCTTGTTGGGAACTAGAGTAAAGGTCACTGCTGCTATGCAAAGACACTGGTGGCATTTTGCTCCTGCCCTAGAGATCTGTGGAACTTTCAACTTGAAAGAGATGATTCAGGGTATCTGGGGAAAGAGATTTCTAAGCAGCAAAGTTTTCAAGAGGAAGCAGAGCATAAATGTTTGAAAAATTTGCAGCCTGACAATGTGATAGAAAAAAACCCCTCATTTTTGGGGGGAGAAATTCAAGCCAGCTGCAGAAATTTAGGTAAGTAACAAGGAGCCAAATGTTAATCACCAAGACAATGGGGAAAATATCTTCAGGGTATGTCAGAGACCTTCACAGCAGCCCTTTCCATCACAGGCCTGTTCCAGGGCAGGAAGCATCCAGCATGGGTAAAGAAAGCTTAGCCAAGAATAACTGACATACTCTGTCTATTGGCAAATACTGGATAGAATGATAAGTACTCAAATACCCTAACTGATCAGTACATATCCTATGCATGTAAAAAATACTCATATGTACCCCATAAATACATAAAATATTATATATCAACAAAAGAAAAAAGAAATCTAATGCATAGAGATAATTATTAGGGTTTTTGGTTTAAAGTTCTGACATGATCTCTCTAAACATCCACTGGAATATTTGTAAAGACCCAAAAAGAATTTGGTATACATTTCTGAGACTACAACCTAAAAATGGCATTCAGTTGATCTGCAGAATTTGAGAGGAATTTCCTCTAAGTGTACTACAGATAAAACTAACTACATGGAGGTCCCATGCAATACCCACAAGATAACTGGGAGTGAGACAACTTCACTACCCCCCACTGTTTAATTACTAGGTCACACAAACAACACCAATCAGAAAACTGGGCAAGTTACCATCTGCCATGTGAATGATGCTTCTTGGGATGCCAGAGTCCCTCCTCCACCTCTCTCTTCCTCAGAACCTCTGTTTCTACTGTCACGCAGAGGCTACACCCAGAAATAAAGGGGCAGGAAGAGAGAAGGAGTGAAATGATTTATGGTGATATATTTGGTTGCTTGGTCCTCATAAAGTATTTATGTGAAGGTGTCAGGAACAGGTGATAACAACATTCATAGATTGAAGTTGTTGTGTATGTCATTTACTCAGGTATCAGAAAGTCAGTGAGCAGAGTTAGGGAAAGATCTCATTTCAGTTCATAGAACCACATTAGGAGAAAGTCTACTAAACACCTAAAATGGAATTATGAATCCACTATTATTCAACTGTATTTCTGAGAAGGGTTTTTAACTAGTGCCCAAAAACAGTGAGAGTTCAGCCAAGAGTAACTGACAAATTCGGTCTATTGGCAAATACTAGACTTGCATTGGATTCTTCTTCAGAAGTTAAGGATTTTGTAAAAAAAAAAAAAAAAAAAATTCAATTCTGTATTAGTCAGGATTATTAACTTCAAACAAGAGAAACCAAATCCAACTATCTTATAAAAAAAAGGATTTACTGCAAGGAAAGAAGGGGAGCGGAGCTTTTTCATGCATTATTGCATTTACTTATTCATCCATTCAGTGAGTCTTAGTTAAACCCCTAGTATGTGCCAAAGACTGTACTAGGCCTTAGGAGTATGACAGTAAACAGGAAAGTCAAAATACCCGCCCTTGCAGAGTTTACATTCTAATCAATATTTAATGTAATGTCAGTTAAAATAAGACCAATGAAGAATATTCTATCAGAGTAAGAGGATAAGGAAATATGAAGAGGAGCTGCTGCTATGTTCCATGGGTGGTCAAAGAAGCACTTTTCGAAGGTGCGTCATTTGAGACCTGAAAGAAGCAAGGGAACTAGATATGTAAATCAGAAAGAAGGGAATCCCAGGCAGAAACAACAAGTGCAAAGGGCTTGAAATGGAAACAAGAGAGCAAAGAGGCCAGAGTGGCTGGAGAGGATTACACAGGCAGAGAAGCAACAGACGAGGACAGCGAAGTGGATGATTCAGAGTTTGTGGCCAAAAAGATTTCACATTTTAAACTAAATGCTACAGGTGATCTTTGGAGAGTTTGAGCAACACGATTAAATTTATAATTTGGGAAACAATTCTGTCTGCTGCTTAGAGAAACATTATGTGTGTGGATGTAAATGTGTGTGTGTAAACCACCTAGTGTTACAGGCACACATATATGTTACACATATATAGTGTTACATGCACACACACACACACACACACACACACATAATATTCTGCACAGACTTACCCAGACTTCAAAAAATGTGCTACTGAGAACAGTGATGGATCCTGGGGCAAGATAAATGCTTGAATATAGCACAAAGTTTCTGAAAAATGGACTCACATGGAAAAGATTAAAAGAAGAGGACATTCTAGTGGAGCATTTCAGACTTAAGAACAGGTTAGCAAGGTCATGAACTTTTTCTTTTCCCTTGAACTATGGAGAAAGCTATATTTAATGTAAAGTTTTCACTATTTTCCTATTTACAATGCTATTCCCTTTGGTTATGCCAAAATCTTCACAGAATCAGATAAAGACATGAATGGTGGAATGTGGAAAGTACAAAGACTTGGTGGAGTTGGTCCTCATGTTGGTTTCCATGGAGAGAGAGCAATATTCTCCAAAAGAGATTGTGTCAGGGGTGTAAGAAACTAACTAAAAGCTAAGTGACTTATTGCTCATGGGGGAACTGGCAGCTACAGGGGCTGCATATGAAAGAGAGGAGCAATTGTCAGATAGGGAACTCAGGGAGGATTTAAGACAACAACATTCTTCCTTTCTCAAAATACACTAGACTCAGGGTGTTTCATTAGGGGCACTTTTGGCGTTTTGATGGGACCATTATTCCTTTTATAAAGTTGTCCCACACTCTACAGGGTGGCTAGCATCCGTATTACCATCCAGTAAATACTGATAACTGGGCATCAAACTATTTCAAATATCTCACTCTTAGACACCACCTACTTCACAAAAAGGCTTCTATAAAATATACTTTCTTCCCTGTGGGATTTCACCAGTATCAAAGAGTGTGATCATCTTCTCAAAGCATCAAGCCCCTTCCCATGTCACCATTGTTGAATTGTCAAGACCACCTAGAAAAGAGACAAATCACCAGACTATGTGACAGTGGGAGAACCACCTCAGTTGGAGCAGCCAAGTGAAGTGTGGAGGCAGCTAATGTTCCTAAAGAGAAGCCAGGCAGGATCCCATTCATGAAGAGTGATTGTAATTGCTAATGTGTCACCATTTTTAAAATAATTGAGGTATTTTTAAGAGGGAAAAGTCAAATCTTTTCAAATGTTTTTTTTTCCACGAGAACTAAATGTCTCTTAGTTGACAAGATAAAAGAGCATAATCAGGTGTTGGCACTGCTGCCTAATGAGGTCATTATGGAAATGTTCTTGAGTGTTCAGCAGAGTTGGTTAGTGTGGACATGCTTAGTGAAGGGTGGGGAAGGTGAAAAGAAAATGAAAAGTAGTTGTTTTTCTTAATTACTTAACTGTTTCATCTTATTTTATACTACACACACAATCTTTTTCTCTCTACCAGCAGTAGAAAATTTTGCTTTTAGAACTTCCAGAAAGAAATGAGTAAAAGAGACAGATAGACCTGTAATGCTATATAACCATCACCCCATTATGTTTTTTTTTCCTTCAGAAATAGTAATGAATTGCTAAGATAAAAATGTTCCCACTATCCTCTTGAAAAAGCTTATTATTCCTTGAAGCACAGTCAGGAATTATAAGATAAATCAAAGGGTCAGTGGGTGACCTCTTTTCTTAGAGAAAACACGTGTATGTGGGAGAATCAAAAGAAGGGAAAGGCAAAGGATGAAAAAGAACAATAAAAATACTTTGCTCTTTTATTTTAAAGAATGACACAGTTTGCATCTTCAGTATAACATTAAAGCAGGTGCGTGTGCCGAGATGTACACGTTGGTCCATGAGCCAAGATGCTACTGATGGCACATTACTTCATGTACCCACATGGAGTCACTTAAGGAGAAAACAACTGGGGTAAGCGATCTGTTCACAACAGTAGTCACTGTGGATATGGCTGCTATTTGCTAATAAACTGCTATAAAAGTTCCTGAAAGCAGGAGAGAGAGGATCAAAATGGGAAAGAGTATACCTATAGAACAGAGTGTGGTTGTACAGTATGAGGATTTAATCTTTCTAGTAAAGATGTGGACATACAGAGCTAATAAATTCCTGCAGGCATGAACGCAGGGAGGAAGGCTCATTCTATTCAACATTAGGCTCATGGCCCTAAACTGCCTGGATCTCTGGGTAAGGAAAGGGAATAACCAGAACCACTGGGATTCCCTGATGCTTCAGAGAGAGAACTGAAGACATTAATTCATCAAGTGCTCACATAATTCTTGGGCTTCCAAATTATTTCTCAGTGATTACCAGACTTACATAAATTAATGGTTCATTTAATTTACATCCTTTTCTCTTTTAATAGGAAAGATTAAAAAGTCTATAGTTGGCTGGGCATGGTGACTCATGCCTGTAATCCCAACACTTAGAAGTCTGAGGCAGGAGAATCCCTCGAGCCCAGGAGTTTGAGAGCAGCCTGGGCAACATAGTGAGAGCCTGTCTCTACAAAAAAATGTAAAATTAACCAGGTTTCATGGTATGCACCTGTAGTTTCAGCTGCTTGGAAAGCTGAGGTGGGAGGATCATTTGAGCCCAGGATATTGAGGCTGAAGTGAGTCAAGATTGTGCCACTGCACTCCAGCCTGGGTGACAGAGACTGTGTTTCAAAAAACAAAAAACAATGACAGCCAGTGATTTTGAATTTGGGGTCCCTATCTCCCATAATACTTAAGTATTTTCTAGAATGAGAACAATTATATCATACCCAATTGTAACTTCTATTAACATTTTCTAGATTATGTAGATGAATAAAAAATTTTAAATTGTATAAATATTGACACTCAATGGACACTTTCATCTCCAGGTAACATTAATCAGACTTTGATGGCTACTCATAACTAATGACCATGAATAGAAAATCTCTTGGCTGTATATTGCATTTTGGTTCTTAGGATAAGTCAAATGAAATATAGTTTCAGTGACTACCTTTTAATAAATATTTTTAAAAGGATTAGTAATGCCCCACAAAATATACAAGCGTGCTCTTAAGATATTTGCTTTTGAGAAGTCCACAGAAATTACTAAATATTTATTACATCTGATATTTGCTATAAAAATTTGCAGAATTTGGGCTTAAAAGGTAGCTTTTATCATTTATTGAAGCATAATTAATCCTCAAGTTTTAATCAGCATTAGCCATTATTAATGTGGATGTCAAAATTAAAGAAGGAATTCTGGTTAAGTGATTCTTACATCCCAGTGGTGAATTATTTAGAATGTATTTTTTTTATTTTTCACTCTGTCACCCAGGCTGGAGTACAGTGGTGCAATCATGGCTCACTGCAGCCTTAACCTTCTGGGCCCAAGCAATCCTTTCACCTCAACCTCTTGAGTAGCTCGGACTACAGGTACATGCCACCCCACCTGGCTAAATTTTGTATTTTTTTGTAGAGACAGGGTTTCATCATGTTTCCCAAGCTGGTCTTGAACTCCTGGGCTCAAGCCATCCACCCACCTCAGCCTCCCAAAGTGCTGAGATTACAGACCTGAGTCACCACACCCAACCTAGAATGCATTTTTGATGGGGTCATTTCTTCTGCTTTAAAATAATACGAGTAATAAAGGTTCAGTCACGTTTTATGTCTCATATCCATCTGACATCAGTGGAGAAGTTTGCTGAGAGGTCAGCATATTATACTCATATTATTTTGTTTGCTTATTTGTTTGTTTTGTCTTTACTAGTGTCTCAGCAAAAACTATAAACTTACAATGTTTGATTACTTATTTTATACAATTTATCCTATCAATAAAGTGCTTTAATTTTGAGAGTATTTGGTCATATAGAAATTTTCTCAGTATTATTACTTTTAAAATGTAATCAACAACCACAAATAGGACAACTGACTGCTTCAAATACTATGTAATAAGGAAAAATAGATTAAGCCCAACAAAATGAGAATATTTTAATAACAATTTTTTTTCAGTCTCTGAGCCATAAAGCAAACGTTGACTTTCACTTTGATATATCCCATATCAGCCTCTTCCTTAGGAAGAGAAAGTCCAGAATTTGACCTGCATCTCTAAATCTAGACAAATATATTTAAAATGAAGGATTGAGCTATAAATATTGTCTATATAATTGCAATAAACAAACATATTTGCATAGGGCTAATATTTGAGTTATATATGAATTCTGAAACTTTGGCAGTATTTGTTTGCCAAGCACTGTTCTGTTCCAGCAGGCTTGCAAATTAAATATACTTCAAATTGTTCTAAAACAAAGGGGAATCCATTGTGAGGGTATCACGACCTTCTGCCCACCCCTATCAGTTCTTTTTTTTTTTTTTTTTTTTTTTCTGAGATGGAGTTTCGCTCTTGTTGTCCAGGCTGGAGTGCAATGGCGCGATCTCGGCTCACCGCAAACTCTGCCTCCCAGGTTCAAGCGATTCTCCTGCCTCAGCCTCCCGAGTAGCTGAGATTACAGGCATGTGCCACCATGCCCAGCTAATTTTGTATTTTTAGTAGAGACAGGGTTTCTCCATGTTGATCAGGCTGGTCTAGAACTCCCAACCTCAGGTGATTCACCCACCTCAACCTCCCAAAGTGGTGGGATTACAGGCATGAGCCACCTCGCCCAGCTAGGAAAAGGCTTAAAATTTTAACTATTGCATTTACCACACGATCAGGAAAGTAAAGTGGAAACACCAGAAATGGGAGTGCAGACAGTTCTGTCATTAACTCACTGTGCAACCTTGGGTCATGCAAATGTTCTGGTGCTTAATTCCTTAGCTGTAAATAGATAGTTTCTATTCAATACAGCAGATTATTGAGTGTGAAGATACACACATACACACAAGTGACACATAGAAATGCTAGATAAAATGTAACATCAAATAGTTCTTCTTATATATGCTAGAGCTCCAAAGCAAGAAAAAGATGTCCATAAGTACCAGAAACTACAAATAAACTTAAAATCGAAGGGGTGAGAACAGCTAAATAGTTCTGAGGAGAATCAGAGACAGTCATAAGTTAAGTGGGCTGGATCTAAGGCCTGAAAGAGAATTGTGGCTCAGGCTGCATACCCTGTGCTTTGTGGGACCCTGGATCTTAGTTCCCTGCCTAAAGATTGGAGCCAGAAAAAGGAATCCAGTCCATGTAACAGAAAAACTCTGCTCACTGGCCCAAGAACACATCATGGAAAGAAGGGTGACAGCACTGAGTGATGAATGGGAAAACAGTCACCATCAAGAAACTGAAACTGCAAGCCATGCATTGGTATTGGGTTCAATTTTTCATCACCTACATGTAATTAGACCACTAATTTAGAAATTAAAAATCAGTATAGACATGAGTTATATACATACATATATTTCCTACCTGTGCCCATTGAGAGGTATTGCCCAACAGCAAGGAGCACACTTAACACCTAGTCTTGCTTTCTGAACACCATTCTCTAATAAAAAGAGCCAGAGATCCATAAAGAAATGGCTGTTTCTGGAACTGGAATACAGAAAATACAAGATGAGTCTAGAGCATCTAGTAGTACCAGAAAATAAAGAAATATTTGAAAAACAAAAGGATACAGGCACGTCAAAGGGACATAGGGACCAACCTGAAAGAGCTCCCAATGGCCAAATCTGGAACAATTGGAGCAAAAATATAAATAACATAATATTGGATTATAAGCCAAAGTATAAATGATTATACATGTTCATAGTAATGTAAATAAATGATTGAATAGATAAATGAATAGGAAAGAAGAGTTTTTTTTTTTTACAGAAGACTTTAAATAATATATGTATGTAGATACTCCCCCCTCCAGAGGTGGAGCTTAATACCACCACCTCCGTCTAGGTGAAGTGGATGGAGTGATTTGCATCCAAAGAAGAAAGATGGAAAGGAAAACACAGTAAATTTACAGTGGCAAGCAAGACCTTAATTAGCCAAGTGATGAATATTAGCATCACCAGTGAGAAATCATTTGATACCACACCCCCCTGATATGATGGAATGAGAAATGGCACTCCACTTCTGTGATATTCTTCCTAGAAATTTACAACTTCAACCTAGTTATGAGTAAAACATCTGACAAACCAAAAGTGGGGAATTCTATAAAATAAGTGACCAATGCTCTTTCAAATTTTCAAGGTCATAAAAGATAAGAAAATAATGAGAAATTGTCAGAGGCCTGAGGAGACTAAAGAAGCATGCATTATGGTATACTATCAGAGGTGAATACCTTACTGCCCCATAGAAGTGCCTCCACAACTCAAGACTCATGACATTTTTACAGAAAATAGTTCCATCTGTATATGAACTAGAGTAAATATTCCAAAGTATGTGTGAAAACTATCCTTGGAAAAGAGTTAGTACATTAAAAACAGGGGTGGGAGAGAAATTACTTACACACCAGGAATTTTAGATAGCAGAATACTCTTAAAGGAAATCTAAATTATGTTTGATTAAAAAAAACAGAGAGACCAAGAAAAATATTTGTTTTAAAGTGGTATTTAACAGGAACTAAATAATCGTTAAAGCACTATCGCCCATAGATGCAAGGCTGGTTCAACATATGCAAATCAATAAACGTAATCCATCACATAAACAGAACCAATGACAAAAAACACATGATTTATCTCAATAGATGCAGAGCGGCTTTGACAAAACACAACAGCCTTTCATGCTAAAAACCCTCAATAAACTAGGTATTGATGGGACGTATCTCAAAATAATAAGAGCTATTTATGACAAACCCACAGCAAATATCATACTGAATGGGCAAAAGCTGGAAGCATTCCCTTTGAAAACCAGCACAAGACAAGGATGCCCTCTCTCACCACTCCTATTCAACATAGTATTGCAAGTTCTGGCCAGGGCAATCAGGCAAAAGAAAGAAATAAAGTCTATTCAAATAAGAAGACAGGAAGTTCAAATTGTCTCTGTTTGCAGATGACATGATTGTATATTTAGAAAACCCTATCGTCTCAGCCCAAAATCTACTTAAGCTGATAAGCGAATTCAGCAAAGTCTCAGGATACAAAATCAATGTGCAAAAATCACAAGCATTACTATACACAAATAATAGACAAACAGAGAGCCAAATCATGAGTGAACTTCCATTCACAATCACTTCAAAAAGAATAAAATACCTAGGCATACAACTTACAAGGGATGTGCAGGACTTCTTCAAGGAGAACTATAAACCACTGCTCAAGGAAATAAGAGAGGACACAAACAAATGGAAAAACATTCATGCTCATGGATAGGAAGAATCAATATCGTGAAAATGGCCAGACTGCCCAAAGTAATTTATAGATTGAATGCTATCCCCATCAGGCTACCATTCACTTTCTTCACCAAATTAGAAAAAACTACTTTAAATTTCATATGGAACCAAAAAAAGAGCCTGTATAGCCAAGACAATCCTAAGCAAAAAGAACAAAGCTGGCGGCATCACACTACCTGACTTCAAACTATACTACAAGGCTACAGTAAAAAAAAACAGCATGGTACTGGTACCAAAACAGAGATCTAGACCAATGGAACAGAACAGAGGCCTCAAAAATAACACCACACATCTACAACCATCTGATCTTTGACAAACCTGACACACACAAACAATGGGGAAAGGATTCCCTATTTAATAAATAGTGTTGGGAAAATTGGCTACCCATATGCAGAAAACTGAAACTGGACCCCTTCCTTACACCTTATACAAAAACTAACTCAAGATGGATTAAAGACTTAAATGTAAGACCTAAAACCATAAAAACCCTAGAAGATAACCTAGGTAATACCATTCAGGACATAGGCATGGGGAAAGATTTCATATCTAAAACACCAAAAGCAATGGCAACAAAAGCCAAAATTGACAAATGGGATCTAATTAAACTAAAGAGTTTCTGCACAGCAAAATAAACTATCATCAGAGTGAACGGCAACCTACAGAATGGGAGAAAGTTTTTGCAATCTATCCATCTGACAAAGGGCTAATATCCAGAATCTACAAAGAACTTAAACAAATTTACAAGAAAAAAACAGACAACCCCATCAAAAGGTGGGCAAAGGATATGAACAGACACTTCTCAAAAGAAGACATTTATGCAGCCAGCAAACATGAAAAACAGCTCATCATCACTGGTCATTAGAGAAATGCAAATCAAAACCACAATGAGATATCATCTCAAACCAGTTAGAATGACAATCATTAAAAAGCCAGGAAATAACAGATGCTGGAGAGGATGTGGAGAAATAGGAAAGCTTTTACACTGTTGCTGGGAGTGTAAATTAGTTCAACCATTGTGGAAGACAGTGTGGCGATTCCTCAAGGATCAAGAACCAGAAATACCATTTGACCCAGCAAACCCATTACTGGGTATATACCCAAAGGATTATAAATCATTCTACTATAAAGACACATGTACACGTATGTTTATTGCAGCACTGTTCACAATAGCAAAGACTTGGAACCAACCCAAATGTCCATCAAGGTTAGATTGGATTAAAAAAATGTGGCACATATATACCACGGAATAGTATGCAGCCATAAAAAAAGGATGAGTTCATATCCTTTGCAGTGACAGCGATGAAGCTTGAAACCATCATTCTCACCAAACTAACACAAGAACAGAAAACCAAACACCACATGTTCTCACTCATAAGTGGGAGCTGAACAATGAAAACACATGGACACAGGGAGGGGAACATCACACTCCGGGGCCTGTTGGGAGGTGGGGAGCTAGGGGAGGAATAGCAATAGGAAAAATACCTAATGTAGATGACGGGTTAATGGGTGCAGCAGCAAACCACCATGGTACATGTATACCCATGTAACAAACCTGCATGTTCTGCACATGTATCCCAGAACTTAAAGTATAATAATAATAATTTTTAAAAAGCACCCTGCCACAGCCAAACTTCTCTGGCTGCTTGGCACTGCCTGTCTTGGAGCCACATTATTCTCTGTGCATCTGACTAACTCACATGAAGGAGCCAAACCAACATAATGTCACATAATTAAGAGGACTAAGCAGAGAAACATATTCCAACGAGGTTTATAGCCTCAAAGAAGAGTGTGTTAAAGGTGGTTTTAGATTGCAAAGTGATTCTGTACTGTGTCAAAGATTCATGGGGAAGGCATTCCTGAGTCACAGAGGATCTCAACTTAAATGGAAAGAGAGTAGGAACCAGACTAATTGAGGAATACTAGGACTTATTCAGCATTAAAGGAAGGCAGCTATCAAAAGAAAAACAATTGCTAATACCTGATTTGATTCTGGTGACTATTTCTCTCACCACTTTTTCTGTCCTTGGCCTTAAATTTCACCATCCCGAAATGTTTGGTCTGAAACTCCAAAAGGTTATGACAGTCTTTAGATCACCATCCATAGCACTTGTCCCAGTCTGAAATTACCTGTTTCTTTTTTAATTAAATATCATTTTTACTTAAATTAATAATAAATCATTGTATAGATCTTATGGCAAACCAGACTAGTTTTTTATTGTGTTTTTTAAATACACACAAAATCAAATTTACCATCTTAATTATTTTACCCTGTTTCTTCATGTTTACATCTGCCTCTCCATTGTCATATAAGTTCAGTAAAGTCCCTGTCTGTCTTGTTCACCTCAGAACTCCTTGAACTCAGAAGTGACTGGCACATAATAAATAGTAAATAGATATTTGCCGGATGAGTTAATCAATCTTTAGAACTGCTGTGCTTTTTTTTTTTTTTTCAGATTCTTACAGACAAATAACCTAGGGTTAATTATTTTAAGTTGAAAAATATCCAAGCTAATTCAAGTAAAAGTGAAGTTCAAAATAAATTAGCCAGGAAATTCTTTAATCTTCTGTGTTAGCTTTAGATCTGTGGCCATAATCTCATTGTATATTCTATTCTTCTCATCATCACCAAAGGGAAAGTTTTAATTATTTTATCCATTCTTTTTCTTAATTTAATTTTATTTTATCCATTTTTTTCTTAACTTAAAGCTCAGTAAAACTTCAGTCTTTTTATATATATAGCTATATATATATGGTAAACTGAAACTTCAGTAAAACTTCAGTCCTTTTTCCCTCTTTTAACTACTCAGAGATGGTAAGATCTGTTTATTACTTCAAGAGATCAGAGATGGTAATATCGCTTCCTTTCTTCATAGAGCTATGAGAATTAATTTTAAGAAATAAATCTACATATGTCTTTGAACGTCTTGGTGCCACGTACTATTAAAAAGCCCAAGATCCTGCTTAGATTTTAAATCATTTTTTATCTGTAATGTCTATAAAGGATGAATTATTCATTTAAAAAATAATACAAACTTAATTTTCAGTGTGATATTTAGGGAACTTGAATATTCCCAAACGACAGACTATTCAGGACCCAACTGATTGGTTACTTTCCCTGATAAATAGTAAAGATATGCTAAGTTTACAAACAGGTTTAGGTAGTAAGTTTACAAGCTTGTTAACTATAGGAAGCATGTGCCTGGGAATTTTTCTCATACTCGGGACTTTTTAGTAACAATGATGAACTTAATTTAAACTTATCAGCATGAAGAGAAGGATGGGTCATATATTGATGCTGTGAGAACCATTGGCCCAATACTATGTCATGATTACTTTCTGACATCGTAAGATTAAATATCACTTCTTTTTGTCCAGGCAACAATATGCTTTAAACTCCTCAGAATCTTCAGAAGGGGGATAGTATATACCTCAACCCAGGAGGCTCTGGGGTAGTTAAGTATTTAATTAAAAAATTTACCCACCTATTAAGCCTTACAGGCGCTATGATGCTGTATGGCCTTGTCCACCTGCCCCCCACTCCTTCCGCTTGCCCCCTTCTCTTGCAGAGTGCACTTAGTGCCCACAAAAGAGAAAAATAAGTACCATTAAGTCTAAGGGCCACAGCATTTCTTGGAATACCCTGCAAATGCCTACTAATATGCCATGCACAGGGTGAGCATCTAATTATAGTCCAAACCAGGACATACTTAAGAGTGAAAAGGAACCCTAACAGGCAGGGTGGCCAGGACAGGAGTAAACCATACTGTCCAAACAAAGCAGAGTTCATGGTGTGTGATCACCCGAGCATGAACATAGTGTTGCTGCTAATAATGATGATGATAATCATGCTCTCATAAGAATATGTGCCCAGTGTATTTCTGCATTTTACATTTGTTATTGATCCTGTGACTGTGGAGCTGCTGTTTATGTTACTCCTGTCTGACACTCCTTTAGTTTAGCTTTAGTTAAGAAACATTTTCTGCCTGATGTAACAAAGTGTCATCCTCAATCAACAGCCCCAAGGGGCTGTTTCTGTTACTAATTTTCTGGTGAATGCTTTGTCACCAGCTTTCAATTTCACTTGCTGGAGCAACTTGTAAATATAACACCATCTGAGAATGTCAAGGCTTTTCTGTTTCTGTTTTCTGGAATTCATCTATTTCTAGAAATCTATCTATAACCACCAGCATTTCAGTCTATTTTTTAGCAGCCACTTGCGCTGCTGTCGATATGGAGTTTATGATGAATGGTGGCTTCATTTGAGTTTTCAGTTGCACATGACTGGGGACTGCCGACATCCAGGAAAGATGAATCTGAGTCTTTGCTGAGCCTTTGTGCTACCTCACAAAGGAAGCATCTCCATCTTCAATATTTCTGTTTGGTAAGAAACTTTTCTCAGATAGTCTTTGCAGTTAAAAATAAATAAAACATAACACCAGAATTATGTGGTTACGTTACTATCTAGCAACATAGTGATTATGCACCTCAGGTTTTTATACTTAAACTTCGGTTCTAGATTTATTAAAATCTACTCAGCCAGAATTTGCATCTCCATTTCAGCATTTTTGTCCCATTACCACATTGCATCAGTTTCCAGTCTTGTAAAATAAGACTTGAACCATATTATTATTCTTTAATTTTAATGAAGCAGAGCACTGAGACAATCATTTGTGGGGCAATTCTGATCAAGGAAATGGATTAAAATTTCAACTTCCATAAACATAGACATGCAGATCAAAACCAAAATTCCTTTTTTTCACTTCCTGGAATTTCTCAAAAGATTTGACCATGTCTTTTTCTCTTCTTTCACCTTGGAGAAGGATTCTCAGATCATCTACAGCAAATAAAAAGCTAGGTGAAAGTTTAGTGACACATTCCAGAGGTTTATTTTTCTGTGCTTATTATTGTTCACTGGCTTTCTAATTTCCTTTGGTGGGGAAGAAAGAACATATACACAAAGTTGGCAGAGTTCTAACTCTAACGCATTGTCAGACTCATAGGAAAGAATAATCGTAACCAAATTCCTTAGACAACTCTGCTCACACTTATTGAATGCCTATTATAGACCCAGTGCTCTGCTAAGAAATTTATATAAGTTATCTTGGACTATAGACTCAATCCTATGAATTGAGCATTATTGTTATCCCTATTTTAAAGATGAAGAAATTGAAATTTAGAAGGCTTAAGTAAATTGCTCAAAGATAAACTGCTAGTAAGGGGTAGGCCAGCATTAGGCAAAGACGCAACTTGGCTCTATACAGTCCATAGTACTACCATCTGTAATTTTATGTATTACCCACTATAATAGGAACAAATGTAATGTGCTGTAGAAGAAATAATAAATAACATGAATATGCTGAGAAAAGACTTTAAGTAATATCCTAGTTAGGAAGAAAAACAATCTAGGCAACATAAATTTAGGGAAAATAAGACTTTGTTTGGTTTTAGGATGTGATGCCTGCTGGGCACACCAACAATGGACAATTGCCAGAAAAATAGCATGTAACTCTTAGAAAAATAGGAGTTTGTTTAGTTTTAGAATATGATGAGGAAAATGGCCCTATAGGTTTTGAAAAGTTGTGCTAGGAAACTGTGAAAGAAAATATTTTTATTGATTTATTTACTAAGTCAGAAAATTTTTATTGAATATCTTCTATGTACCAAGAACTGTTTTACTTGCTTAAGATACAAGGTGAAAAGACGAAGTCTCTGCCCTAATAGAACTTAATTTCTAGAGAAGGAGACAGAACATATATAAGTAAGCAAATAAAAATAAAATTTAGATAGTAACTATTGAGAACTGTGACGAGTTTGAGATTGTTACCCTGCTTGCGAGCTAACAAGTAAGCCTGTCATTGTTTCATGGATGCTGGCAGAAAATGTAAAATTTTATATTCAGGTAGGAGAGGAGAATCAGCCTTCCATCAAAGGGGCTTTCTTACTTGTCTTTTCTCAGAAAGATCCATTTTAGCACACAATGCACAAGAAAGTGAAGGAACAAAAATAGATGTTCTTAGGCCTTTCCATACCTTCATACCCCCTGGAAACTGTGCATAATCATATGTGCACAGTATATGCTACATAATGTATGTGTGCATAATCCCCAGGGGCACACATACCCCAGTTTGTTCTAAGTGAATTCGTTCTTTATTTTTCAGAATCCAAATAAATCCCTTTGAGAAATGGATGGAAGCTCTGGACCATCTCCCACAGAAATTGCACAAACATGTACTCAAAATGTTCCATGCAATTTTAGAGAATACAGACCACCCTGAATCCCATGCACTGGACTCAATTAAGAAACCCTTGCCAGATCCAACAACATAATTTGAAGGTGAGGGAATCAGACACAGAGAAGTTAACTGATTCAAAATAGCATAAGCTAGGTAGCTGAAGAGAATATATGCAGAGCCCTTGGCTCAGGAGAGTCATTTTTAAAATGACTCCTTTCCTCCCGCCCCTCTCAGAATTATAGGTCTAGTTTTTTTTTCCAGAAGTAGGATGATAATCTGAATCTCCTGAATTTCTATTAAATAACAGTTATTTTAGAAATAAAGATAGTTCATTTAACTTACCCAAATACACCAAATGTCCATGTTTGTAACCACATCTTTAATTCATTTGTCTTTTTGGCATAATATAAAAAGAGGCTTTTTCCATGTGTCCTAAATATTGAAACTTTCATTGTAATGAAATTATGTTTAAAATTGTATTGTAAACTATTTATAATGATATACATTTATGGGGTACAAAGTGATGCTATGATTTATGAATAAAATATGGAATAATTAGCTCAAGCAAATTAACATATTAATCACCTCAAATACTTATTTTTGTGGTGAGAACGCTTGAAATTTACTCTTAGCAATTTTGAAATGTATAATATGCTATTGTTAACTATATTTACCACGCTGTGTAATCTGTGTAATAGAACTGAAAAAAAGTATTCTGCCTGTCTAACTGAGATTTTATATTCTTTAACCATCTGATATGGTTTTGCTGTGTCTCCACCCAAATATCATCTTGAACTGTAGCTCACATAATCTCCACATGCCATGAGAGGGACCCAGTGGGAGGTAATTGAATCATGGGGACGGGTTTTTTCTTCGCTGTTCTCATGATGCAGAATGAGTCTCATGAGATCCGATGGTTTTATAAAGGGAAGCTCCCCTGTACACACTCTCTTGACTGCTGCTATGCAGGATGTGCCTTTGCTCCTTCACCTTCCTCCATGATTGTGAGGCCTCCCCAGCCATGTGGAACTATGAGTCCATCAAACCTCTCCTTCTTTATCAATTACCCAGTCTGTGGTATTTCTTCATATAAATAAATGAAGTATGAAAATGGACTAATATAGTAAATTGGTAACAGAAGTGGGGCACTGGTAACACAAGTGGGGTACTGCTATGAAGATATCCAAAAATGTGGAAGTGACTTTGGAACTGGGTAACAGGCAGAGGTTGGAACACTTCAGAGGGCTCAGAAGAAAACAGGAAAATGTGGGAAAGTTTGGAGATTCTTGTTGAATGGTTTTGACCAAAATGCTAATAGTGATATGGACAAGGAAGTCCAGGCTGAGGTGGTCTTAGATGGAGATGAGGAACTTATTGGGAACTGGAGCAAAGGTAATTCTTGCTATGTTTTAGCAAAGAGACAGGTGGCATTTTGCCCCTTCCCTACAGATCTGTGGAACTTTGAACCTGAGAGAGGTTATTTAGGGTATCTGGTGGAAGAAATCCTCCAAGCAGCAAAGCATTCAAGAGATGATTTGGGTGCTCTACAAAGCATTTAGCTTTATTCATTCACAAAGACATGATTTGGAATTGGAACTTATGTTTAAAAGGGAAGCAGATCATGAAAGTTCAGAAACGGCAGCCTGACAATGCAATAAAAAAGAAAAACTCATTTTCTGAGAAGAAACTCAAGCCGGCTTCAGAAATTTGCATAAGTAATGAGAAAGCCAATGTTAATCACCAAGACAAAGGGGAAAATGTCTTCAGGGCACGTCAGAGACCTTTACAGCAGCCCCTCCCATCACAGGCCCAGAGGCCCAGGAGGAAAAATGGTTTCATGGGCCCAGAGCCTTGCTGCTTTGTGCAGTCTAGGGACTTGATGCTCTGTATCCCAGCTGTGGCTAAAAGGGGCCAACATATAGCTCGGGCCATTGTTTCAGAAGGTGCAAGTCCCAAGCCTTGGCAGCTTACATATTGTACTGGGCCTGCAGGTGCACAGAAATCAAGAATTGAGGTTTGGCAACCTCCATCTAGATTTCAGAGGATGTAAGAAATGCCTGAATGTCCAGGCAGAGTGGTGCTGCAAGGACAAAGCCCTCATGGATAACCTCTGCTAAGGCAGTGAGGAAGGAAAATGTGAGGTGGGAGCCCCCAAACAGAGTCCCTACTGGGGCACTGTAATAAGAGGGCCGCCATCTTTCAGACCCCAGAATGGTAGATCCACTGACAGCTTGCACTGTGCACCTGGAAAATGTGCACCTGGAAAAGCTACAGACACTCAGTGTCATCCTGTGAAAGGAGCCAGGAGGGGGGCTGTACCTGGCAAAGCCACAGGGGTGGAGCTGCCCAAGACAATAGGAACCGATCTGTTGCATCAGCATGAACTGGATGTGAGACATGGAGTCAAAGGAGATCGTTTTGGAGCTTTAGGATCTGACTGTCCTCAAGACAGGGATGCCCTCTCACACCACTCCTATTCAACATAGTATTGGAAGTTCTGGCCAGGGCAATCAGGCAAGAGAAAGAAATAAAGGATATTCAATTAGGAAAAGAGGAAGTCAAATTGTCCCTGTTTGCAGATGACAAGATTGTATATTTACAAAACCCCATCATCTCAGCCCCAAATCTCTTTAAGCTGATAAGCAACTTCAGCAAAGTCTCAGGATACAAAATCAATGTGCAAAAATCACAAGCATTCCTATACACCAATAACAGACAAACACAGAGCCAAATCATGAGTGAACTCCCATTCACAATTGCTTCAAAGAGAGTAAAACACCTAGGAATCCAACTTACAACGGATGTGAAGGACCTCATAAAGGAGAACTACAAACCACTGCTCAACGAAATAAAAGAGGACACAAACAAATGGAAGAACATTCCATGCTCATGGATAGGAAGAATCAATATTGTGAAAATGGCCATACTGCCCAAGGTAATTTATAGATTCAATGCCATCCCCATCAAGCTACCAATAACTTTCTTCACAAAATTGGAAAAAACTACTTTAAAGTTCATATGGAACCAAAAAAGAGCCCGCATTGCCAAGACAATCCTAAGCTAAAAGAACAAAGTGAGAGGCATTGTGCTACCTGACTTCAAACTATACTACAAGCCTACAGTAACCAAAGCAGCATGGTACTGGTACCAAAACAGAGCTATAGACCAATGGAACAGAATAGAGCCCTCAGAAATAATACCACACATCTACAACAATCTGATCTTTGACAAACCTGACAAAAACAAGAAATGGGGTAAGGATTCCCTATTTAATAAATGGTGCTGAGAAAACTGGCTATCCATGTGTAGAAAGCTGAAACTGGATCCCTTCCTTACACCTTATACAAAAAGTAATTCAAGATGGATTAAAGACTTAAATGTCAGACCTAAAACCATAAAAACCCTAGAAGAAAACCTAGGCAATACCATTCAGGACATAGGCATGGGCTAGGACTTCATGTCTAAAACAACAAAAGCAATGGCAACAAAAGCCAAAATTGACAAATGGGATCTAATTAAACTAAAGAGCTTCTGCACAGCAAAAGAAACTACCATCAGAGTGAACAGGCAACCTACAGAATGGGAGAAAATTTTTACAATCTACCCATCTGACAAAGGGCTAATATCCAGAATCTACAAAGAACTTAAACAAATTTACAAGAAAAAAACAAACAACCCCATCAAAAAGTGGGCAAAGGATATGAACAGACACTTCTCAAAAGAAGACATTTATGCAGCTAACAGACACATGAAAAAATGCTCATCATCACTGGCCATCAGAGAAATGCAAATCAAAACTGTAATGAGATACCATCTCACACCAATTAGAATGGCGATCATTAAAAAGTCAGGAAACAACAGGTGCTGGAGAGGATGTGGAGAAATAGGAACACTTTTACACTGTTGGTGGGACTGTAAACTAGTTCAACCATTGTGGAAGACAGTGTGGTGATTCCTCAAGGATCTAGAACTAGAAATACCATTTGACCCAGCCATCCCATTACTGGGCATACACCCAAAGGATTATAAATCATGCTGCTATAAAGACACATGCACACATATGTTTATTGTGGCACTATTCGCAATAGCAAATACCTGGAACCAACCCAAATGTCCATCAATGATAGACTGGATTAAGAAAAGGTGGCACATATACACCATGGAATACTATGCAGCCATACAAAAGGATGAGTTCATGTCCTTTGTAGGGACATGGATGAAGTTAGAAACTATCATTCTGAGCAAAGTATCACAAGGACAGAAAACCAAACACCGCATGTTCTCACTCATAGGTGGGAATTGAACAATAAGAACACTTGGACACAGGGTGGGGAACATCACACACTGGGGCCTGTCATGGGGTGGGGGTAGGGGGGAGGGATAGCATTAGGAGAAATACCTAATGTAAATGATGAGTTAATAGGTGCAGCACACCAACATGGCACATGTATACATATGTAACAAACCTGCACGTTGTGCACATGTACCCTAGAACTTAAAGTATAATATTAACAATAATAATAATAATAATAATAATAATAATAATAATAATATTTGACTGCCCTGCTGGATTTTGGACTTGTATGGGGCCTGTAGCCCCTTTGTTTTGGCCAATTTCTCCC
Source organism: Homo sapiens (assembly GCF_000001405.40). Taxonomy (NCBI): domain Eukaryota; kingdom Metazoa; phylum Chordata; class Mammalia; order Primates; family Hominidae; genus Homo; species Homo sapiens. Next base: position 117,863,967 of record NC_000006.12, on the reverse strand, counting down.
AATTGGAATGGGTGTATTTACCTGATGCCTGTACTTCCATTGTGTCTAGGAAGTAACTAACTTGCTTTTGATTTTACAGGCTCATAGGTGGAAGGGACTTGCCTTGTCTCAGATGAGACTTTTGACTGTGGACTTTTGAGTTAATGTTGAAATGAGTTAAGACTTTGGGAGACTGTTGGGAGGCATGATTGGTTTTGAAACGTGAGGACATAAGATTTGAGAAGGGCCCAGGGCAGAATGATATGGTTTGGCTGTGTCCTCACCCAAATCTCATATTTCTTTTCTTTTCTTTTCTTTTTTTTTTTTTTTTTTTTTTTTTGAGACAGAGTCTTGCTCTGTTGCCCAGGCTGGAGTGCAGCGGGATAATCTCAGCTTACTGCAACCTCTGCCTCCTGAGTTCAAGTGATTCTCCAGCCTCAGCCTCCCTAGGAGCTGGGATTACAGGTGCCCACCACCATCCCTGGCTAATTTTTGTATTTTTAGCAGAGACGGGGTTTCATCATGTTTTTCAGGCTGGTCTCAAACTCCTGACCTCAAGTCATTGGTCCATCTCAGTCTCCCTTAGTGCTAGGATTACAGGTGTGAGCCACCATGCCCCAAATCTCATTTTGAATTGTAGCTCCCATAATCCCCGGCAGCACCTGCTACCCGGTATCAACTTACTGTATTGGTCCATTCTCATACTGCTAATCAAGACATACATGAGACTGGGTAATTTATAAAGAAAAAGAATTTAATAAACTCACAGTTCCACATGGCTGGGGAGGCCTCACGATCATGGCAGAAGGCAAAGGAGGAGCAAAGGCCTGTTTTACATGGTGGCAGGCAAAAAGAGCATGTGCAGGGGAAATGCCCTTTATAAAACCGTCAGATCTTGTGAGACTTATTCACTGTCATGAGAACAGCATGGGAAAACCCCATCCCCATGATTCAATTACCTCCCACCAGGTCCCTCCCACGACACAATGTTTAAACAACCAGATCTCATATGAACTCAAAGCGAGAACTCGATTATCACCAAGGGGTGCTGCTAAGCCATTCATGAGGGATCCATCCCCATGATCCAATCATCCCCACTAGATCTCACCTCCAACATTGAGAATCACATTTCAACATGAGATTTGGAGTGAACAAACTACAAACCATATAACTTCCATACTATATTTTTATTACTCACCACAATTTAGATTTAATTATTAGCAAAGTATCCAGTCATTTATATATGTATCACATTTCTTTTTTAAACTTTTCTTCTAGGTTCAGGGATACGTGTGCATGTTTGTTATATAGGTAAATGGTGTGTCACAGGAATTTGGTAAACATAAAATTTCATCACCTGGGTAATAAGTATTGTACCTACAAGGCCCCAGTGTCTGTTGTTCTTCTAGTCTCCATGTATTCTCCTGGTTTATCTCCCATTTATAAGTGAGAATAGATGGTGTTTAGGTTTCTGTTTGTCTGTTAACTTGCTTAGGATAATGGCCTCTGGCTCCATCCATGTTGCAGCAAAAAACATAATCACGCTCTTTTTTATGGCTGCATAGAATTCCATGGTGTACACGTACAACATTTTCTTTATCCAGTCTACCATTGATGGGCATTTAAGTTGATTCCATGTCTTTGCCATTGTGATTAGTGGTACAATGAACATAAGCATGCATGTGCCTTTATGGTAGAACAATTATATTCCTTTGGTTATATACCCAATAATGGGATTGCTGGGTTGAATAGTAGTTCTGCTTTATGCTTTTTGAGGAATTGCCACACTGCTTTCCACAATGGCTTACCTAATTTACATTCACCAACAATGTATAAGCATTCCCTTCTCTCCACAACCATGCCAGCATCTGTTATTTTTTGACATTTTAGTATTAGCCATTCTGACTGGTGTGAGATGGTGTCTCATTGTGGTTTTCACTTGCATTTCTTTAATGATTAGTGATGCTGATATTTTTTACTATGCTTGTTGGCTGCATGTATGTCTTCTTTCTAAGTGTCAATTCATGTCCTTTGCCCACTTTTTAAGGGCGTTGTTTTTTTTCTTGTAAATGTGTTTAAGTTCCTTATAGATTCTGGATATTAGAGCTTTCTCAGATGCATAGTTTGCATATATTTTCTCCTATTCTGTAGGTTGTCTGTTCTGCTGATAGTTTCCCTTGCTTGCAGTGCAGAAAGTCTTTAGTTTACTTAGATCCCACTTGTCAATTTTTGGTTATGTCGCAATTCCTTTTAGCATCTTTGTCATGAAATATTTACAAAGTCCTATGTCCAGAATGATATTTCCTAGGTTAAATTCCAGACTTTTATAGTTTTATGTTTTACATTAAAGTCTTTAATCCATCTTGAGTTGATTTTTGAACGCAATGTAAGTTAGGGGTCTAGATTCAATCTTCTTCATATGGCTAACCAATTATTCCAGCACCATTTATTGAATAAGGCATCCTTTTTCCATTGGTTGTTTTGTCAAATTCATTGAAAATCAGATGGTTGTTAGAGTCAGGCATTATTTCCAGGCTCTGTATTCTATTCTGTTGGTTTATGTGTCTAATGTACCAGTACCATGCTGTTTTGGTTACTGTAGCCCTACAGTATAGCTTGAAGTCAGGTAACATGATGCCTACAGCTCTGTTCTTTTTGCTTAGGATTGCCTTGACTATTTGGGCTCTTTTTTGGTCCCACATGGATTTTAAAATAGTTTTTTCTAATTCTGTGAGGAATGTTATTGCTATTTGATAGGAATAGCATTGAGTCTGTAAATTACTTTGGGCAGTATGGTCATTTTAATAATATTTATTCTTCCTATTCATGATCATAGACTGTTTATCCATTTGTTTGTGTCATCTCTGATTTCTTTGAGCAGTGTTTTACAATTCTGATTGTACAGATCTTTCACCTCCCTGGTTAGCTGTATTTCTAGCTATTTTATTTTTTCTGTGGCAATTGTGAATGGGGTTGGCTTCCTGATTTGGCTCTTGGCTTGGATGTTGTTTGTGTATGGAAATGCTACCGATTTTCATATCTCGATGTTTTATCCTGAAACTGCTGAAATTTTTTATTAGACTTAGAAGCTTTTGGGCAGAGATCATGGAGTTTTCTAGATATAGAATCATGTCATCTGCAAACAGGGATAGCTTGATTTTCTGTCTTCATTTGGAATACTTTTATTCAATACTATGTCTTGTGCCAGTTTTCAAGGGGAATGTTTCTAGCTTTTGCCCATTTGGAATGATGTGGCTATGGGTTTGTCATAGATAGTTTTATTATTTTAAACTATGTTCTTTCAAAGCCTAGTTTATTGAGGGTTTGAAACCTGAAGGGATGTTGAATTTTATTGAAAGCCTTTTCTGTATCTTTGAGATAATCATGTGGTTTCAGTCTTTAATTTTGTTTATGTAATAAATCACATTTCAGTAGGAATGGCATCAGCTCTTCTTTATACATCTGGTAGAATTTGGCTGTGAATCTTTCTGGTCCTGGGCTCTTTTTTTTTTTTTTTTTGTATGCTTTTCATTACTGATTCAATTTCAGAACTTGTTATTGCTCTGTTCAAGGATGTTATTTCTTCCTGGTTCCATCTTGGGAGGCTGTTTTTGTCCAGAAATTTATCCATTTCTTCCAAATTTTCTATTTTTTGTCCATAGAAGTATTCATAGTAGTCTCTGATGGATTTTTTGTATTTCTGTGGGATAAGTGGTAACGTCCCCTTTGTCATTTCTAATTGTTTTTATTTGGATCTTCTCTCTTTTTTATTTGTTAGTCTAGCTAGCCATCTATCTGTCTTATTATTTTTTCAAAGAACAAACTCCTGAATTCATTGATCTTTTGCATATTTTTTTTGCCTCAACTTCCTTCTATTCAGTTCTGATTTTAGCTATTTCTTTTCTTCTGCTAGCTTTGGGGTTGGTTTGCTCTTGCTTCCCTAATTCTTCTATTTGTGATGTTAGTTTGTTAATTTGAGATCTTTCTAACTTTTTGACAAGGGTGTTTAGTGCTATAAACTTCCTTCTTAACACTCCCTTAGCTGTGTCCCAGAGATTCTGGTATGTTGTATCTTTGGTCTCATCAGATTCAAAGGATTTCTTGATTTCTGCCTTAATTTCATTGTTTACCCAAAAGTCATTCTGGAGCAGGTTTTTAAATTTCCATGTAATTGTATGGCTCTGTGAAAGAAAACTATCTGAAGGGGAACCCGAAATTATGCGGGAACAAGGCCTTTGAAGTGGGAAGAAATTGACCAGCAAACGGGGAAAAAATAAAGGATTTTTAATTTTAACTACAAAAGGGGCTTTATTTACATAACAAGGCCACCTTTTTGCCAGCCAGATCAAACTGAAAAAACAATGGCTATACGTCTAAAATGGCATTTTGTCCTAGCTGAAATATGGTAATAAGATTTAAAAAAAATCTTTTAAGAAGCTCAATGGTTAAAAGTTAGCTTAACTAAAAGGCTAACATCCAAGATGTGTGTGTACGTATGCATGTGTGCATGTTTGTATTTGAAAGGCCTTCTTCATGTTTTTATTCTTCTTCTTGTTGTTTGTTTTTCTCTCCTAAGATCTTGTCTTTCTTGAGCAAAAGTTTTTTTTTTTCTTTTTCTTCTCAGTTGACTGAATTCTGTTTTCACCTGATTTTTTTACTGAAATAGCTATTGCAACAGAGGCTACTCTTGGGTTTTTAAGGAAGAGTGTAGTTTAATTTTATGTTTAATTTGGCTCAAAGAAAAATAAAAGCATTTCCCTCTAGCACCACCAGACTTTTTTTCCTCTGTACCTTATGATGTAAATTTTGCTATTTGATTTTCACCTGAATTGTTTCCTTTAATGTGCAAATTTAAGGCTGTTTAGCTGACAACTGCCTAGGGTTATAAAACAGGTTACAGGTTATCAATCAAGAATCTGAGTCTAAGGGAAAAAAGAATTGAGGGGACATCTTTATAAATCTATAAATTGTACTTTTATTGGCATTACTAATACCTCCTTATATATATTTAACTGTTGTGTACACAATGCCTCACTACTAAAAATATATAAAAGAGCTCTAATTAATTGGCTTAAAGAAAAATAAAAGCACTTAAATAAGATACTAAAAAGGAAATGACTAATCAAATACTTTTTCAAGTTTATGTAACTTAAGTAAAATCTTAATACATAAGCTAGCTTTAAAATTATTGGTGACGTAATATTATAAAATATCTTAAGAATTGCCAGCACACATTTTTGCTTGCATTTCTTTTTTTTTTTTTTTGAGACTGAGTCTCACTCAGTCACCCAGGCTGGAGTGCAGTGGCATCATCTCAGCTCACTGCAACCTCTGTCCCCTGGATTCAAGCGATTCTCCTGCCTCAGCCTCCTGAGTAGCTGGGATTACAGGCAAGCACCACACACCCAGCTAATTTTTGTATTTTTAGTAGAGGTAGGGTTTCACCATGTTGGCCAGGCTGGTCTTGATCTCCTGACCTCATGATCCGCCCACCTCGGCCTCCCAACGTGCTGGGATTACAGGCGTGAGCCACCGAGCCCGGCCTTTGTTTGCGTTTCTCAATCAAGCAATTTCATACTTATTCATGCAAGTGTCAAAATTTGGCATAGGGGTTACAAAACTATAAACCTAGCCCAAAACAGAATGATCTTCACTTGTGTTATTTTTAATAAATAAGAGATTAATATGGGTTTAATGAAAATAGCTGCATCTTGAATTTAGTAAAATTACCATAACTTCTAATCCTGTGGCTTTAGGCAGTCTAGTCCACAGACAATAAGAAGGTTTGTTTTGGGAAAGTACTGTTATTATCTTTGTTTCAAAGCTAAATTATAAACTAAGTTCCTCCCAAAATTAGTTCAGCCTATGCCCAGGAATAAACAAGGACACCTTGGAGGTTAAGAGCAAGATGGAGTCAGTTAAATCAACTTTTTTTCACTGTCACAGTTATAATTTTGCAATGGTGGCTTCATAATTTTAAATTATGACTATCACCATTTTCATAAATAATTTAGGTAAACAATTAAAATAAAATAATTAGGTAAATATGATGGGACAAATACTTGTAGACAAACTGGTCATAATTTAGAATATAAAGTTATATTAAATAAAATAATATATATTTCATTATCTGAGCATTTTCTAATAAACACATATTGTAGGAAAACATTCCTGTATTAAAAATAAAAAGGTGTGCCCTTTTTTAAAAATAAAAAGGTGTGGGGCCACCGCGGTGGCTCATGCCTGTAATCCCAGCACTTTGGGGGGGCTGACTTGGGTGGATCACGAGGTCAGGAGATGGAGACCATCCTGGCTAACACAGTGAAACCCTATCTCTACTAAAAATACAAAAAATTAGCCAGGCATGGTAGTGGGAACCTGTAGTCCCAGCTACCCGGGAGGCTGAGGCAGGAGAATGGCACGAACCCAGGAGACAGATCTTGCAGTGAGCCGAGATCATGCCACTGCACTCCAGCCTGGGCAGCAGAGTGAGACTCCATCTCAAAATAAATAAATAAATAAATAAATAAATAAAAATAAAAAGGTGTATCCTTTTTTAAAAATAAAAAAGTGAACAAGTTTTGTCTAATTCTAAACTTATTTAAAAGTTATGTATAAAACAAGGTAAAAGATACCAGGAAATTTAAAAAGTTGTAAAGAAAGTTATAAAAATAAAGGGGGATTTTCAGGTAAAAAAGCTTAAAGAGAATAATTTTATATAAGAATAAATGTTATATGATAAATTTAGTCCCAAAATAAAATAACTGGTTGTTTAAAAAGGAGGATGTTCAGGAAAAACCAGAAAATCAAAGCATGTCAAGAATGGTCAGTGTAAGTCACAATAAAAGGATTTCATATTTTTAAAAAATCAAAAACTTTTATATAATCAAGTTGTCATATTATTATTACATTTTGGTTTGCTTAGAAAAAAACTGAGATAAATTTTTTAATTTAAGTTCATTTTATCCATGTATCTTCCTGCATGTGTTTTTAAAGTCCTTGCAACATCGAGTTAGAGGGCTTTAACTCCTGGGTCTAAAAAGGACACTCAGTACTGCTAAATCTTAAACACTGACAGCAATTAAGCTCTCATCTTCAGGCCCCATAGAAGATGCCAATCAAAATAAACTGCATTCCTGCTTTCTCTTGCGGGCATTTAGTGCTATAAATTTCCCTCTACACACTGCATTAAATGTGTCCCAGAGATTCTGGTATGTTGTGTCTTTGTTCTCATTGGTTTCAAAGAACATCTTTATTTCTGCCTTCATTTCGTTATGTACCCAGTAGTCATTCAGGAGCAGGTTGTTCAGTTTCCATGTAGTTGAGCGGTTTTGAGTGAGTTTCTTAATCCTGAGTTCCAGTTTGATTGCACTGTGGTCTGAGAGACAGTTTGTTATAATTTCTGGTCTTTTACATTTGCTGAGGAGTGCTTTACTTCCAACTATGTGGTCGATTTTGGAATAGGTGTGGTGTGGTGCTGAGAAGAATGTATATTCTGTTGATTTAGGGTGGAGAGTTCTGTAGATATCTATTAGGTCCACTTGGTGCAGAGCTGAGTTCAATTCCTGGGTATCCTTGTTAACTTTCTGTCTCATTGATCTGTCTAATGTTGACAGTGGGGTGTGAAGGTCTCCCATTATTATTGTGTGGGAGTCTAAGTCTCTTTGTAGGTCTCTAAGGACTTGCTTTATGAATCTGGGTGCTCCTGTATTGGGTGCATATATATTTAGGATAGTTAGCTCTTCTTGTGGAATTGATCCCTTTACCATTATGTAATGGCCTTCTTTGTCTCTTTTGATCTTTGTTGTTTTAAAGTTTGTTTTATCAGAGACTAGGATTGTAACCCCTGCCTTTTTTTGTTTTCCATTTGCTTGGTAGATCTTCCTCATCCCTTTATTTTGAGCCTATGTGTGTCTCTGCAGGTAAAATGGGTTTCCTGAATACAGCACACTGATGGGTCTTGACTCTTTATCCAATTTGCCAGTCTGTGCCTTTTAATTCAGGCATTTAGCCCATTTACATTTAAGGTTAATATTGTTATGTGTGAATTTGATCCAGTCGTTATGATGTTAGCTGGTTATTTTGCTCGTTAGTTGATGCAGTTTCTTCCTAACCTCGATGGACTTTACAATTTGGCATGTTTTTGCAGTGGCTGGCACTGGTTGTTCCTTTCCATGTTTAGTGCTTCCTTCAGGAGCTCTTTTAGGGCAGGCCTGGTGGGGATAAAATCTCTCAGCATTTGCTTGTCTGTAAAGTATTTTATTTCTCCTTCACTTATGAAGCTTACTTTGGCTGGATATGAAATTCTGGGTTGAAAATTTTTTTCTTTAAGAATGTTGAATATTGGTCCCCACTCTCTTCTGGCTTGTAGAGTTTCTGCTGAGAGATCAGCTGAGCTGTTAGTCTGATGGGCTTCCCTTTGTGGGTAACCTGACATTTCTCTCTGGCTGCCCTTAACATTTTTTCCTTCATTTCAACTTTGGTGAATCTGACAATTACGTGTCTTGGAGTTGCTCCTCTCGAGGAGTATCTTTGTGGTGTTCTCTGTATTTCCTGAATTTAAATGTTGGCCTGCCTTGCTAGATTGGGGAAGTTCTCCTGGATAATATCCTGCAGAGTGCTTTCCAACTTGGTTCCATTCTCCCAGTCACTTTCAGGTACACCAATCAGACGTAGATTTGATCTTTTCACATAGTCCCATATTTCTTGGAGGCTTTGTTTGTTTCTTTTTATTCTTTTTTCTCTAAACTTCCCTTCTCACTTCATTTCATTCATTTGATCTTCCAACACTGATACCCTTTCTTCCAGTTGATTGAATCAGCTACTAAAGCTTGTGCATTCGTTGCATAGTTCCCATGCCATGGTTTTCAGCTCCGTGAGGACCTTTAAGGACTTTTCTGCATTGGCTATTCTAGTTAGCCATTCATCTAATATTTTTCAAGGTTTTTAATTTCTTTGCCATGGGTTCAAACTTCCTCCTTTAGCTTGGAGTAGTTTGATCATCTGAAGCCCTCTTCTCTCAACTCGTCAAAGTCATTCTCCATTCAGCTTTGTTCCATTGCTGGTGAGGAGCTGTGTTCCTTTGGAGGAGGAGAGGCACTCTGATTTTTAGAGTTTCCAGTTTTTCTACTCTGTTTTTTCCCCATCTATGTGGTTTTATCTACCTTCGGTCTTTGATGATGGTGATGTAAAGATAAAACTGACACCCTAACATCACAATTAAAAGAACCAGAGAAGCAAGAGCAAACACATTCAAAAGCTAGCAGAAGGCAAGAAATAACTAAGATCAGAGCAGAACTGAAGGAAATAGAGACACAAAAAACCCTTCAAAAAATCAATGAATCTAGGAGCTGGTTTTTGAAAAGATCAACAAAATTGATAGACTGCTAGCAAGACTAATAAAGAAAAAAAGAGAGAAGAATCAAATAGATACAATAAAAAATGATAAAGGGGATATCACCACCAATCCCACAGAAATACAAACTACCATCAGAGAATACTATAAACACCTCTATGCAAATAAACTAGAAAATCTAGAAGAAATGGATAAATTCTTTGACACATACACCCTCCCTAGACTAAATCAGGAAGAAGTTGAATCTTTGAATAGACCAACAACAGGCTCTGAAATTAAGGCAATAATTAATGGCTTACCAACCAAAAAAAGTCCAGGACCAGGTGGATTCACAGCTGAATTCTACCAGAGGTACAAGGAGGAGCTGGTACCATTCCTTCTGAAACTATTCCAATCAATAGAAAAAGAGGGAATCCTCCCTAATTCATTTTATGAGACCAGCATCATCCTGATACCAAAGCCTGGCAGAGACACAACAAAAAAAGAGAATTTTAGACCAATATCCCTTATGAACATTGATGCAAAAATCCTCAATAAAATACTGGCAAACCAAATCCAGCAGCACATCAAAAAGCTTATCCACCATGATCAAATGGGCTTTATCTCTGGGATGCAAGCCTGGTTCAACATATGCAAATCAATAAACGTAATCCAGCATATAAAAAGAACCAACGACAAAAACCACATGATTATCTCAACAGATGCAGAAAAGGCCTTTGACAAAATTCAACCACCCTTCACGCTAAAAACTCTCAATAAATTAGGTATCAATGGGATGTATCTCAAAATAATAAGAGCTATCTATGGCAAACCCACAGCCAATATCATACTGAATGGGCAAAAACTGGAAGCGTTCCCTTTGAAAACGGGCACAAGACAGGGATGACCTCTCTCACCACTCCTATTCATATTCCTGGCCTGGAAGTTCTGGCCAGGGCAATCAGGCAGGAGAAGGAAATAAAGGGTATTCAATTAGGAAAAGAGGAAGTCAAATTGTCCCTGTTTGCAGATGACATGATTGTATATCTAGAAAACCCCATTGTCTCAGTCCAAAATCTCCTTAATCTGATAGGCAACTTCAGCAAAGTCTCAGGATACAAAATCAATGTGCAAAAATCACAAGCATTCCTATACACCAATAACAGACAAACAGACAGCCAAATCATGAGTGAACTCCCATTCACAGTTGCTTCAAAGAGAATAAAATACCTAGGAATCCAACTTACAAGGGATGTGAAGGACCTCTTCAAGGAGAACTACAAACCACTGCTCAATGAAATAAAAGAGGAGACAACAAATGGAAGAACATTCCATGCTCATGGGTAGGAAGAATCAATATTGTAAAAATGTCCATACTGCCCAAGGTAATTTATAGATTCAATGCCATCCCCATCAAGCTACCAATGACTTTCTTCACACAATTGGAAAAAGCTACTTTAAAGTTCATATGGAAGTAAAAAAGAGCCCACATTGCCAAGTCAATCCTAAGCCAAAAGAACAAAGCTGGAGGCATCACGCTACCTGACTTCAAACTATACTACAAGGCTACAGTAACCAAAACAGCATGGTACTGATAACCAAAACAGAGATATAAACCAATGGAACAGAACAGAGCCCTGAGAAATAATGCCACATATCTACAACTATCTGATCTTTGACAAACCTGACAAAAACAAGAAATGAGGTAAGGATTCCCTATTTAATAAATGGTGCTGGGAACATGGGCTAGCCATATGTAGAAAGCTGAAACTGGATCCATTCCTTACACCCTATACAAAAATTAATTCAAGATGGATTAAAGACTTAAATATTAGACCTAAAACCATAAAAACCCTGGAAGAAAACCTAGGCAATACCATTCAGGACATAGGCATGGGCAAGGACTTCATGTCTAAAACAACAAAAGCAATGGCAACAAAAGCCAAAATTGACAAATGGGATCTAATTAAACTAAAGAGCTTCTGCACAGCAAAAGAAACTACCATCAGAGTGAACAGGCAACCTACAGAATGGGAGAAAATTTTTGCAATCTACTCATCTGACAAAGGGCTAATATCCAGAATCCACAATGAACTCTAACAAATTTACAAGAAAAAAACCAACAACCCCATCAACAAGTGGGCAAAGGATATGAACAGACACTTCTCAAAAGAAGACATTTATGCAGCTAACAGACACATGAAAAAATGCTCATCATCACTGGCCATCAGAGAAATGCAAATCAAAACTGCAATGAGATACCATCTCATACCAGTTAGAATGGTGATCATTATAAAGTCAGGAAACAACAGGTGCTGGAGAGGATGTGGAGAAATAGGAACACTTTTACACTGTTGGTGGGAATGTAAACTAGTTCAACCATTGTGGAAGTCAGTGTGGCGATTCCTCAGGGATCTAGAACTAGAAATACCATTTGACCCAGCCATCCCATTACTGGGTATATACCCAAAGCATTATAAAACATACTGCTATAAAGACACATGCACACATATGTTTATTGCGGCACTATTCACAATAGCAAAGACTTGAAACCAACCGAAATATCCAATAATGATATACTGGATTAAGAAAATGTGGCACATATACACCATGGAATACTAGGCAGCCATAAAAATGATGAGTTCATGTCCTTTGTAGGGACATGGATGAAGATGGAAACCATCATTCTCAGCAAACTATTGCAAGGACAAAAAAACAAACACTGCATGTTCTCACTCATAGTTGGGAACTGAACAATGAGAGCACATGGACACGGGAAGGGGAACATCACACACTGGTGCCTGTTGTGGGGTGGGGGGAAGGGGGAGGGATAGCATTAGGAGATACACCTAATGTAAATGATGAGTTAATGGGTGCAGCACACCAACATGGCACATGTATACATATGTAATAAACCTGCACGTCGTGGACATGTACCCTAAAACTTAAAGTATAATAAAAATAAATAAATAAACTGCATTCCTGAGACAAAGGGCAAGAAATTAAATCTATTCAACTCTTCAATGCCCAGGGACTATCAGGGGAGAGGTTGGCACGTAAGACTGTAAGGGCTGATTTTGAAAAATAAATTAACTCCAGTTTCTCTATAAATTAATCGTTAGTGTCAAAAGCACACTGATGCAAAACCAGTACATGGACCCCTGTGTCAGATTAACAAGGTTTTCTTGAAGCATTAACCAACTCCTTAATAAAGGTTATAAAGATTATAAAGGGCTTATGGAAGTTATATTTTATAATCAAGATTAAGTTTTAGATTCTTTACAAAATTTTGTAAAACCAATATAATTGGCTTCATACTGTTTTTTATTAGGGCTTCTTGTTTAGAAAATTAAGTCTCCTCTCTGAAAGAATGAGGGTTTTCTGCTTTTTTTAAATCCTTGAATTATCACTTTGGTTAAATAAATGACTTTACAATGACCTGTAATCCTATTTTGTAGTATCAAGTGTTTTAAACATTTTATATTTGACAAACTTTTCCAGATCAAATTATAAATTATATCTTTTTCTAACCTACTTCATCTTTAAAACATTAAGTTCCTTAAAGTCCAACATTGGCATAATTTGGCTCATTTGACATAAAAATTGTACAGGAAGCATTGTCAAATATAAATGGTGTTTAGTTTTCTTTGGGCTGTATTTGTATAAATACATTATTGGTATATGTTCCAAAGCTATGGGAAACTCCTGTAATTCTGATATAACTTAGTGTACATTATCATTAAGAATCATAATTGTTATGTTAAAATTATTGTGTGCCACAGAGGTAACAAATTTATTTGTCAATTGTGTCTTTTGACTATGGCTGCCTTAAAACTTTTTTTCATCCATGGCCAATTGTTCTCTTGTTTTGGTCCTCTTTAGAAGATGGTTTTATAATTAGCTATAAAACTCCAACAGGTGCTCTTAAATGCAGGTTTCTGATAACTTTGGAGATTGTGACATCAGAATAGGGGAAAAACTTTCAGGACTCATGGAGATCTAAAACAATCATGACTATCAAGCATAACAGGAATTAACTGCATAGACTGCACCAATCTTTTTTACTTTTTGCTTAAAATGTTTACTGATCCTTTGTTTTGTTTTTCAGAGTCTTAAGATTTTTCTTTTGATCTATTGACAGCTTTTCACAATTTAGTACAATTGAAGAAACTGGTTATTTTACCAAGGCTTTGACTGGAATGGTGGGCTTTCCTTTGAAGATTCAAACTTGACTTATTGGGCCAATAAAGCCCTTGGAAAAACTGGCCTACATATTTTGCGTACAGGGTCCCTGTACTTACTACAGGTCAGTCCCTATACAGGGTTTCTGACCTGTGGTAAGTACAGAATGTCTTTTTCTGACAGGCACAGAAGCCCCAGGTTTATCTTGGAACCTGAAGAGGAGAGGAAATTCACCCAACTTACAGGTATTCGATGGCACAAATCCATGGCTGGACTAAGCTTTAAAAAGTCTTATCTGAGATTCCTGCTATAGAACAAAGTTTCATCAAAGCCAATTTAAAAGCCTATGTAAAAGATAATTATTCTTGCTATACTGTATACAAATAATTAAGCGAAGTATGATGAGCAAACCAGTCCTACCATGATTTGTCTTTAGTAAAATTGGAAACTGGAAAGAGAGAAAAAAATTATGTTTCTAAATGATAATATACCTGTTCTTAGATTCCAGCTTTGCCTATTTTTTTTTAAATTTATATTATTGTCTACAGTTTGGACTGAATTCTAATTTTTCTTGGCTATAAGTCTTCAAAATAATGTTTTTAATTTTTTTCCCTTTCTATTTCCATTTTTTTCTAATTTGGAGTCACTGAAAACTAAGTTGTGCTTTCTTAAAACCCTGTGAACTGAAGCCAGAAAACTTAAACTTCAGAAGAAACTAATGGCAACCTATTTACATACATAAACCACTTTCCTACCTGCCTACTAATGTATGGACTTCAGAGTAATGTAGCCTATATCAATTTTTCCAGGATTGTTGTTTTCTTTGTTGTTTTTTTCTCTCTCTTCCTCCACCCTATTTTCTCTTCATACAACATGAGACTTCACAACCCGCTAAAAATGAGCTTTTGGGGCATACCCATCTAGGAATAAACGGTCCTAGTCATGAGAGATCAGATGAAACCTGAGACCAGAGACTCATTTTCTAGTAAAATGCTTTGTCCAAAATATATTTAAAAAGAAAGGGGAGGAAATGTGAAAGGAAAATATCTTGAACCCCCAAAATCACTGAGGAAAAGTCAAGCTGGAAACTGCTTAAGGCAAACCTGCCTCCTGTTCTATTCAAAGTTATCCCTCTGCTCACTGAGATAGATGCATACCTGATTGCCTCCTTTGGAAAGGCTAATCAGGAACTCAAAAGAATGTAACCATTGCGTCTCACCTCTGTGACCTAGAAGCTCCCTCCCACTTTGAGTCTTCCTGCCTTTGCTTCAAGTTTTCTCACCTTTCCAAATCAAACCAATGTACTTCTTATATATATTGATTGATATCTCATGTCTCCCTAAAATATATAAAACCAAACTGTGCCCCAACCACCTTGGGCACTTATCATCAGGACTTCCTAAGCCTGTGTCACAGGTGCATTCTCAACTTTGGCAAAATAACTTTTCTAAATTAACTGAGACCTATCTCAGATTTTCTGGGTTCACAGTTTTGAGTGATTTTCTTAGTATTGATTTCTATGTTTATTGCAATGTGGTCCAAAAGTGTGGTTGGTATGATTTCAATTTTTTTAATTTACTGTATTGTAATTTACTGTACTGTACAGTTCTGTAGATGTCTATTAAGCCTATTTGCTCACTTATTGAGTTCAGGTCCTAAATATGTTTGTTAATTTTCTGCCTCAATAATCTGTCTAATACTGTCAGTGGGGTGTTGAAGTCTTCCACTATTATTGCATGGGAATCTAAATCTCTTTGTAGGTCTCTAAGTATTTGCTTTACAAATCTGGGTGCTCCTGTGGTGGGTGCATATATATTTAGGATAGTTAGGTCTTCTTGTTGAATTTAACCCTTTATCATTATATAATGCCCTTCTTTATCTTTTCTGATTTTTGTTGGTTTAAAGTCTGTTTTGTGTGAAATTAGGATTGCAACCCCTGTTTTTTTTTTCTGTTTTCCATTTGCTTGGTAAATTTTTCTCCATTGTTTATTTTGAGTCTATGGGTGTCATTGCATGTGAGATGGGTCTATAACACAGTATACCATTAAATCTTTCTTCTTTATTCAGCTTGCCACTCTGTGCCTTTTAAGTTGGGCACTTAGCTCATTTACATTTAAAATTAAGTATTGATACATGTGGGTCTGATTGTGTCATTGTATTATTGGCTGGTTATCATACAGACTTGTTTGTGTGGTTGCTTCATAGTGTCATTGGTTTGTGTACTTAAGTATGTTTTTGTAGTGGTTGGTAATTGTCTTTTCTTTCCATATTTAGAGCTTCTTTGAGGACCTCTTATAAGGCAGGTCTAGTGGTAACAAATTCCCTTAGCATTAGCTTTTCTGAAAAGGATCTTGTTTCTCCTTCACTTATGAAGCTTAGTTTGGCTGGATATAAAATTCATAGTTGGAATAGTTTTTTTTAAGAATGCTGAATGTAGTTCCCTCCTTAATCCCTTCCAGCTTGTAAGGTTTCTGCTGAAACATCCACTATTAGCCTGATGGGTTTCCCATTTTAGGTGAACTTCCCCTTCTTTCTAGCTGCCTTTAACATTTTTTTCTCTCATTTTGATCTTGGAAATTCTTATGATTATGTGTCTTGAGGATGGTCTTCTTTTGTACCCTGCAGGGGTTATTTGTATTTCCCGGATTTGAATGTTGGCCTCTGTAGTGATGTTGGGGAAGTTTTCATGGGTGATATCCTGAAATATGTTTTCCTAGTTGTTTGCTTTCTCCCTCGCTTTCAGGGATGTCAATGATTTGTAGATTTGGCGTCTTTACATAATTCTATATTTTTAAGAAATTTTGTTCATTCTTTTTTATTCTTTTTCCTTAATTTTTTTCTGAGTTATTTCAGAGAGCCAGTCTTCTAGCTCTGAGATTCTTACCTCAGCTGGGTCTATTCTGCTGTTAATACTTGTGATTTCATTATGCAGTTCTTATAGTGTGTTTTTCAGCTCTATCATATCAGCTTGGTTCTTTTTTATAACAGCTATTTCATATACTGACTCCTGTATTAATTTATTGTGATTCTTAGTTTCCTTGGATTGGGTTTCAACATTCTCCTGAATCTTGATGACCTTCATTCCTACCCATATTCTAAATTCTATTTCTGTCATTTTAGCCCATTTAAGAACCCATGCTGGGGAACCAGTGTGGTTGTTTGGAGGAAAGAAGGCACTCTGGCTTTTTAAGTTGCCAGAGTTCTTGTGCTGATTGATTCTCATTTGTGTGGGCTGATGTTTCTTCAATCTTTGAAGTTGCTGTCCTTTGGATGGTTGTTTTTCCTCTTTTTTCTTCTTTGATGCCCCTTGGGGGTTTGCTTATGGTATAAGGTGGATTCAGTTGACTGGCTTCAATTCTAGTCTATGCCCGAGTCTAAGAGGAACCCTCTCTGATTATTGTCTCTGTGCCTGCATTTCTTTTGTTTGGCGTTCTGGTCCACAGGGCTCTCTCAGGCAGGGGCCACAATTGGCAGACAAGATGTATCCTTACCAGGTCAGTCCTAATCTGCTGTCTGTGTGCTTCCTGAGAAAACATGGGGTTGTGCTTGTCTGCAGAGCTCAGGCAAAAGCAGGACTGCTTGGTTGGAAGCTCTAGCTGGTGTAGGCTGTCAGGCTACAGGAAGTGGGGTGGATGAGTTGCCCACCCTGCTGTCTGGGTGTTTCCAGGGCAACAAGAGGCTGTGCCCCTTGGCAAATTCAGGCAGAACTACAACCACTGAACCAGAAGCTCTAGCAGACATGGCTAGCCTGGCTACCAGTGGCAGGGGTGGGTGGGGACTCCTGTCCTGACATATGGATGCTTTCTGGGACAACAGGAGGTTGTACCCCTCAGCTGAGTTTCCACAGAAGCAGGACCACTGGGCCTGAAGCTCTATCAGGGGTTGCCTGCCTCGTTACCAGTGGCCGGTGTGGACAAGGTCATGTACTCTGCTGTCCATGTGTTTCCCAAGAACAGGAAGCTGTGTCCTCTAGCTGAGTTCACACAGAAGTGGGGCTGCTGGCCCAGAAGCTCTATAAGGCATTGCCTACCTAGCTATCGGTTGCAGGGGTGGGTGGGGTCATGCATCCTGCCATCTGGGTGTTGCCAGGGACAACAGGAGACTGCATCCTTCGGCTGAGTCCCCACAGAAGCAGGACCACTGGGCCAGAAACTCTAGCAGGCACTGTCCACCTGGCTATCAGTGGTGGGGGTGAGTGGGGTTGCCTTCCCTGCCATCCAGGTTCTTCTTGGGACAACAGGAGCCTACACTCACCAGCTGACTTTCCACAATAGCAGGATGACAGGGCCTGAAGCTCTGGCAGGCATTGCCCACCTGGCTACCAGTGGCAGGATTGGGTGGAGTCATGTGCTCCATCATCTAGGTGTTTCCTGAGACAATAGGAAGCTGCACCCTCTAGCTGAGTTCGCACAGAAGCAGGAGCACTGGGCCAGAAGCTCTAGCAAGCACTGCCTTCCTGGTTATTGGTGGTGGGCTTGAATGCGGCCTCATGCTCTGACATCCAGGCATTTCCCAGGACATCAGGAGGCTCTGCCCTCCAGTTGAGTTCACACGAAAGTGGGACTGCTGGGCTGGAAGCTGGTGCCCAGCCCCATCTGGCAAGGGAGAGTGGAGCAATCTCTCTGCTCCTAGGCAGTACAGCTGTGGCCTCTACTGGGGCTATGGCACCAGGGCTGATCTGCTCCAGAGCTCAAAGCTTATAGAGGTCCCCTTGGACTTGAGAGTTGTCCCCCACAAAATGTCCAAGTGGCTATCTGTCTCAGTCTAGAAGCATGATTGGGGAGTGCAGAGGGGCCGGCAAGATTCTACCATTTCCAATCTTGCACAGGTCCCTGTAGAGAGTGTGAATCCTTCTGGGGGTTCTCACTGACTTATCCTTTCCCATGTTGGAGAGGTTCTCCTGACTCCATGCGGAGCCCAGGCAGGCTGGTGCCCAGCTTTGCTCCTCTCTGCTCTCTGTGTTCCCCTGCTGCCTTGATGGATCCTGACATAGTTTCTTAGATGATCAGCCTGCAGGGTGAGTGTTCACTAGCCCTTTTGTTCCTCTCCATGAGAACCAGCATATGTGAGCCACTTTTAGTCTGCCATCTTGGCCCTGTCCCCATGCTGTTTTCTATAATGGCTGTACTAATTAACATTCCCACCAACAGTGTACAAGAATTCACTTTTCTCCACATCATCACCAACATTTATTTATCATCTTATTGATAATAGCCATTCTGACAGGTGTGAGATGATAATTCATTTTGGTCTTAATTTGCATTTCCCTTATGATCAGTGATGTTGAGCTTTTTAAAATATGTCTGTTGGCAATTTGTATGCCTACTTTTGAGAAATGTTCATCTAGGTCCCTTGTCCATTTTTGAATTGGATTTTTTTCTTGCTATTGAGTTGTTTGAGTTTATTATATGTTTTGAATATTAACCCCTTATCAAATTTATGGCTTGCCAGTATTTTCTCCCATCACATAGGTCATCTCTTCCCATTGTTAGTTGTTTCCTTTATGGTGCAGAAGCTTTTTAGTTTAATGTAATCCCATTTCTCTATTTTTGTTTATGTCATTGGCACTTTGGGGGTCAAATAAAAAAAATTATTACCTTGGCAAATGTTCTGTGATTTCTCCAATTTGTTTTTGTCTAGTAGTTTTGTAGTTTCTGCTCTTACATTTAGTTCATTAATCCATTTTGAGTAGATATTTGTATTTGGTATGAGATAAGGATCAAATTTTATTCTGTTGCCTGTGGCTATCCAGTTTTCCCAACATCATTTATTGAAGTGACTGTCCTTTCTCCATTGCATATTCTTGGTACCTTTGTTGAAAACCATACATGTGTGGGTTCATTTCTGGACTCTCCATTCTGTTCCATTGGTCAATGTATCTTTTTTTATGCCAGCATCATGCTGTTTTAATTACAATAGCTTTGTAGTAGTTTGAAATCAGGTAGTATGATACCACCAGCTTTGTTCTTTTTGCTCATGATTGCCTTGGCTATTCAGAGTTTTTTGTGGTTTCATATTATTGTTTTTTTCCATTTTCAATTTTATTGAAATTTCGATGGGAATTGCATTAAATCTGTAGATTGATTTGGGTAATATGAACTTTTGTTTTGTTTTGTTTTTTACTTGTAGAAGAAATTTAATGCCCATGCGTGCAATGCATGTACCATGCAGACAACAGGAAATTCTGGTATAATCAACACTCACAAAATAAGTTCATATACCCATTTTAAAAATCGAGCTCAATTCGTAGAAAACCTTTAGATTCATGCTAAAATTGGGCAGGACAAACAGAGGTCCCCCATATCCTCTGCCCCCTTAGATGCATAGTTCCTTTCACTAACAACTTTCTGTCATAGAGTGGTACGTTCGCTGCAATCATTCAACCTACAATGACACATCACTCTCATGATGAGACCACATAGCTCTCCTTAGCATTCACTTGGGTGTTGTAAATTCTATGGACTGGAGCAATGGCATAGTTACATGTATCTGCTATTATTCTATCATATGGAATAGTTTCAGTTCAGTACCAATGCACTGTGTCCTATCTCTGCACTGTTTCTTCATCCTCAGTGCCTTGCAACCACTCAACTATTGATTTATTTATATTTAAAATAGACACATCTTACTGTATATAATATGAACATTTAAGCAATATTAATTTTTCCAATTCATGAACACAGGATATCTTTCCATTTATTTGTGTGTTCTATTTCTTTCTTCAACATTTTCTAGTTTTCAGTGTACTGGTCTTTCATCTCCTTGGCTAAATGTATTTATAAGTATTATTTTTTATAGCTATTATGAAATGAAATTTTTTATTTTGGGGGAAATAATTTATTCTTAGTATATAGAAACACTACTGATTTATGTGTGTTAATTTTGTATCCTGCAACTTTACTGTATTTGTTTGATAGTTCTGTTTTTTGGTGGAGTCTTTAGGGTTTATTACATATAAGATCATCTCATCAGGAAACACTGACAATTTCAATTCTTTTTTTCCTATTTAGGTGCCCTTTATTTCTCCTTCTTGCCTAATTGCTCTGACAAGGATTTCCAATACTATGTTGAATAAAAGTGTCAAGGCTGGACATCTTGTCTGGTTCCAGATCTCAGAGCAAGGGCTTTCAAATTTCACCATTGAGTATAATAATAGTTGTGAGCTTCACATATATGGCCTTTATTGTGTTGAAATACATTCCCTCTACACCTACTTTAGTGAGAGTTTTTATTGTGAAAGGATATTGAATTTGTCAAATGTTTTTTCTGCATCTAATAAGATGATCATATGTTTTTGTCTTTCATTCTGTTAATATGATGTATAACTTTTATTGATTTGCATAAATTGAACCATACTTACATCACAAGGATAAATCCCACTTGATTATGGTGAATGATCCTTTTAATGTGTTGTTAAATTTGGTTTGCTAGTATTTTGTTGAAGATTTTTACAACTATGTTCATCAAAGATATTAGCCTGTAATCTTTTCTTATAATGTCCTTGCCCAGCCTTGCTATCAGGAAAATGCTGGCCTTGTAAAAAGTTTAGAAGTATTTCTGCCTCTTCATTTTTTTGAAGAGTTTCAGAAGGATCGGTATTAGTTCTTCAAATGTTTGGTAGAATTCAGATTGGTAACCATCAGGTCTTAAGGTTTTTATTATAGGAGACTTTTTAATTACTGATTAAATCTCAATACCCATTACTGATTACTTATTAAATCTCAATACCCATTATTGGTCTTTTCAGATTGTCCATTTCTTCATGATGATTCAGTCTTGGTAGGTTGCATGGCAATGGCAAAAACCGCAATTACTTTTGCACTAACCTAAATATATGTGAAGAAATTTGTCAATTTCTTCTAGTTTATCCAATTTGTTGTATAATTGGTCATAGTAGTCTCTTGTGATCCTTTGTATTTCTGTGATATTAGTTGCAATGGCTCCTCTTTTGTTTCTGACTTTATTTATTTGAATCATCTCTTTTTCTTATTCTAGCTAAAGACTTGTGGATTTTATCATTTAAAATCACTAACTCTTAAGTTTTGTTGATCTTTTGTATGGTTTTTTTTTCTAGTCTTTATTTTATTTATTTTATTTTAATAATAAAAATCTACTCTGATTTTTATTATTTCCTTCCTTCTGCTAACTTTGGGCTTAGTTTGTTCTTTTTCTAGTTCAGTGAGGAGTAATGTTGTTTATTTTAGATGTTTTGTTTATTTTTGATGTAGGTGTTTATTGCTGTAAACTTTCCTTTGAGAACTGATTGTGTTGTATCCCATAAGTTTTGGTATATTGTGTTTTCATTTTCATTTATCTAAAGATATTTTTAAATTTTCTTTTAAATTTCTTTATTGACCCATTGGTTGTTCAGGAACATGTTTAAATTCCATGTATTTGCAAATTTTCTAAAATTCCTCCTGTTATTGATTTCTAGTTTCAATTCATTATAGTTGGAAAAGATACTTGATATTATTTCATCCACCTTAAATTTGCTAAGGCATATTTTGTGATCTAACATATGACCTATCTGTGTGTGCACTTGAGAAGAATATATATTCTGCTGTTGTTGAATGGAATGTCTTGTATTTGTCTGTTGGTTTCACTTGGCCTATAGTGTTGTTCAAGTCCAGTATTGTCTCATTGGTTTTATGTCTGAATGACCTGCCCATTGTTGAAAGTGGGATATTGAAGTTCCTTATTATTATTGTATTGCAAGCTATCTCTCCCCTCATATTCTTTAATACTTGTTTTATATATTTAGGTGCTTCTATGTTTGGTGCTATATATATATATATATATATATTCACAATTGTTATATCTCTTGATTAATTGCTTCTTTATAATTACATAAGTTCTTTGTCTCTTTTCACAGTTTTTGACTTAAAGTCTATTTTGTGTGATATTAGTGTAGCTATCCTTGCTCTCTTTTGGTTTTTATTTGTAGGGAACATCTTTTTCAATCCCTTCACTTTCAATCTATGTGTATCCTTAAAAGTAAGGTGAGTCTCTGCTAGGTTGTATATGTAAAGTTTTGGCTTTTTGATGGGGATCCCATAATTCCCATAAGATTTCTTTATTCTTTTTCATTCTTCTTTTTGTTTTTCATTTCAAATGTTCTGTCTTTGAGTTCATTGATTCTTTCTTCCACTTTATCAAGTCTAATGTTGAAACTTTCTATTGAATTTTTAAATTTAGTAATGATATTCTTTATCTCTAGGATTTCTATTTGGTTTTTTATTGTTTTCATTTTTGTCACACTTCTTAATTTGTTCATGTATTATTTTCCAGATTTTATTTAATTTACTATCCATGTATTCTTTGAAGTAACTGAAATGCTTTGAGATTAATCTGAATTCTTTATCAGTCATTTCATAGATCTCCATTTCTTTTTCCTTCTTTTTTTGAGTAGCAAATACTGTAATTTTATTCTATTTTTTAGATTTCAACTATTATTTATTTCCTTAGGGTGCATTACTGGAGCTTTATTGGTTTCTATTGGATGTATTATGATTCTCTAATTTTTTGTAATCCTTGTGTCCTTGCATTATTCTCTACATTTTTAAGGAAACAGCCCCCTCTTCTGGCCATTACTTGTGTTCTTTGACAGGGATAGATCTTTGATATTTAATCTAGCTTGTGATTCTTGAAGGGCCGGTGAGGTGATAATAAATCCAGACAAGGAGAGCTTGTTGTGAGTTCTCTAGTTGGCTGGGCTGCCGTCTTTCCTCTGATGTCAGGTGGGCTGCTGGCTTACCTCCACTGTCTGGCAAGATCACTGGCTGGATTCTGCTATTGGTCAGAGCTGCTGGCTGTGGACTGCAATGGCTTGTGGTCTCATAAATCACAGAATGCATTCCCTGGCCAAACAATTTTGCTATTTGTGGTCTGCAGTTAGGCAAGACTGAAGTTGGTCTCTGAAGTTAGGCATAGTTTCTGCTGAGGATGGGCAAGACCAGAGGTTATACTTCTTAGAAATGCATGATTGAGGATTGACTCCTTGTCAGGGTGGAGCCATGGTATGGACATTTCACTGAGTTGAGACACTGTGACCTCCTGGGTCAAGCAGGTCCAGTCCCTATGATTCTCTGAAATGGGCAGAGGCAGGCACCTTCCTGTCTGGATGGGGTCATTGAGCAGGATTTTTGGCTGAGTAGAGCTACTGCTTGACTGCCCAGGGCAATCAGATCTAGCTTCTGTTCTTTGAAATGGGCAGAGGTGGGTGTCTCGACCTGGGCAAGGTTATTTTTGTGGACTCTGACACTGGGTATGGAGACTAACCATCTAGGGACTCAGGCTAGGTTTAACCTTCCTCCATGCTTCCAAAGGTGATCAGATCAGTTTTGCAGGTGGGCTATAAGGTTTGCTGGTATCTCTGACTGAGCACCGTAACTGGCAGGAACACAGACCTACCACCAAGATTTTAGTGCTAGTCACCATGACCTCTGCCTTCTTTCTTTCTACCTGACTCCAGGCATTATAGCTAAGTCATTGGTCCCAATGTTTCCTGTGAGGTGAGACCAGAGTGAGCATCCTGAGAAGTGTGTTGGGAAGCTAGAGAAACTTGATAACTTCAACTCCCTTTTCCCCCTGTAGACACTGTGGGCTCATGGAAATCCTCTTTCTCTAGTATTGTGCCAAATTGGTGGGTGGATGTGTATGTGGTTGAAGTGAGACCACTCTTCTTACCTTTGTAATTCAGTTTTCATTCAGTACTATGGGACATGCAAGTATCTTGGGCCTGTTTCCAAGTGGAGTTTTCAAAGAGATGTTCTGTTCTTTGGATACCTGCTAGTGATATTTACATGGAGGCAGTGGGAGTGAAGGCTGAAACTTTCTATTCTGCCATCTTGCTGACATTCTGTAGTGTGCAGAAAATTCCTGATGTTCTGTTTCAAACAAATGCTTGAGTCAGAAAAAGTTGTTTTGACAGGATATTTTAAAAATTAATTATTATTTCTGTGGCTTCAAAACTGCTCCAGAAACCCTGAAAGCACCCCCAGACTGAAATCACTGAGCATATAAACAATGGTGACAATCAGCCCAAAGGCCACCCCAACATGGTTTAAGAATGAAACTCGGGTAAACAGTCATATTTCTTCTCAGTTTTGGGGAAAATAAGAAAAAAAAATTTCATTTCACCTCCAAGATCAGATTCCAACTGTTAACAGTATCTCTAGACATTAAAATTTAAAAACCATAGGCTCAAAAATGAATCATAGGTAATTGCTTTGTGCCTCTACTTACGCTTTTTTAAAAAAAATTTATACGTTATATATTTATATATTTTTTCCTATAAAGTTGACAACTTGCTTATTTAGGTCTGATATAAAGAAAATCAAACTTCATATCACTAATGCAATAGAGTGAAAAGGTAGAAAGGTGTATCCATTTTATTTCAGATGTGTTATATGATACCAAGATCTCCTATCTATGGTATAATATATGCACTAAGATGTATATGCACTAAGATGTAGTTTCTCAAGATCTTGAAAAATATTGTTAAATGCTTCATTAGAAATTGCTTTCATGTTTCGTGTGTCTGCGTAAGTCAGTGGTTCTCAGTGGGGGTAATTTTGCCCCAAAGGGGACATTTGCCAGTGTGGAGATGTTTTTTATTGTTACAACTTGAGAAGCTTTGTGCTGTTGGCATCTGGTGTACAGAGGCCAAGAATGCTATTAAACATCTCACAATGCACAGGACAGCTCCCCACAACAAAGAATTACCCCATCCAAAATGTCAATAGTGTGGAAGACTTTGGGAGGCCGAGGCGGGCGGATCATGAGGTGAGATCTAGACCATGCTGGCTAACACGGTGAAACCCCGTCTCTACTAAAAATACAAAAAATTAGCCAGGCGTGGTGGCAGGCGCCTGTAGTCCCAGCTACTGGGGAGGCTGAGGTGGGAGAATGGCATGAACCTGGGAGGCAGAGCTTGCAGTGAGCCAAGATTGTGCCACTGCACTCCAGCCTGGGCGACAGAGCGAGACTCCATCTCAAAAAAAAAAAAAAAAAAAAGGTACAATGGAGTTTAAAAATTCCTATGGTATAGTGACATCATAGCTGTAGTAACACCATGGTGCAATGCATTACTCACATAGGAGCAACAGGCGATATATACAGTCTAGGTGTATAGAAGGCTATACCACCTCGGTTTGTATAAGTTCACCCTCAAGATGTTTTCACAATGATGAAATCATCTAGCACATTTCTCAAAATATATCCCTGTCATTAATTGATGCATTACTATAATTGATCAAATCTTCTATTGTTTGTGAAAATAACTGCAGACAACAGAATCCCCTCTAGCTGGCTTATGAAGAACAAGTTTTTTTTAAAAAAAATTACGTAGTTCACAGGTATCTTGGAGTATCTAAGTATTGGGTCTGATTATCCAACCAGGAATAGAGCAGCCAAGAGAAAAATCAAAAGACACTACTGTATCCAAATGTAAAACACAACTGTGCTCCCCACCCCAATACTTGTGACACCAAGTCAGAAGCTTCACTATCACTTCAGATGGGCACCTCTGACATCATTTTTGCCAGTAGATACACTCTTTCTTGGTACAGCCACCACCTATGTTTCTCATTGCTATCTGCAAATCAAGTATAGGTGGGTCAGTCTAGTAAAAAAATAGATTGCTTGCAGTACCTTGGCTGCTAGGGAGTGGGATATCATATTTTTTAGCTTTTCAGTCTTTATAGTTCTAGAAATTAAGTTAAAGGGGATTGGAATGGGAGCTGGATGAGCCAAATTATAGTCTGCAATAGTCATGGAGCTCACATTCCAATAAATCAATTAAGATTAGGGTCAGCTGCATAGAACAAAAACTAAACTAAATTACAATATCTTGTAAACTAAAAGACGTCTGTCTCTTACATAAAAGAAGTCTGAAAATGTGAAAGATTGCAAAAATAGCACCTATTCTTCACTGCTGCCTATATCACCCCCTTTGTCATGTAAATTGAAGTTTCTCTCACTGAAGAGGTGGGATGTATTTCCTTGAATCTAATCCTGTCTTGTGACTTGCTTTGGCCAATAGAATGAGGCAGAAGTGCTGGTATTCAAGTTCCAAGCCTAAACCTTAAGATGTCGTGCTGTTTCTGCTGGCTCATTTGTGGTTTTATCATTACCATGACAGGGTTGTGCCCAGCTGGTCTGCTGAAGGACGAAAGGCACATAGAGCAGGGCTGAGTTATACCAGTTACTCTATTTGAACCCAGCTTAGATGAGCCAACTCCCAATTGGCCTCCAGGAAGCATGAGGGAGGCTAGCTTCTGATCAGCTAAATCTCATATATGTGTGAAAAATACTTATTTTTATGAACCTTTCTTACTCAGTATTATTGCAGCACTGGATAACTGATACAGGAACAAAGCAGTCTGAGGCAAATATGAAAGCTCAGAAGCGTGAGGGACCCAAATGCTGGATATTTTGTAGCTCTGCATCCTCAATGTACAGCTTCTATTTCATAGTTCAATGTGGTTGCTTAACCATCACATCTAAATCCCAGCCAGCAGGGAAAAAAGGAGGTGTGAAGAAAGGAACAAATGCTCTTTTTAAGGAAACTTGCTGGAAGTTTTATGTAGGAACCTAGTTATAGTCACATCAGCAGCAAAGAATGAGGATTGGAAAATGTAGGCTTTATTCCTATTTCCTGTGCCCAGATACATACTGGGGCCTCTAACACTAAAGAAGAAGGGGAGGACAGATACTGGGGGACAATTGGAAGCTACATTTGCCAGTAAAACATACTGACAGATAAAAGTTTGCTGTTTCCCTCACTTTTGTTCATATATAGGGCTCTTACCAAATGAAAGCAGTTTTCTGAATTTAAGATACATTTCTTTCTGGATATATTGCTAAATTATAATAATAATTAAAGAAATATTGATATTCATAAATCCAAAATATAATTTTTTTGTATAGCATTTTACTGCTATGCAATTCTGCTTTTTGCTACAGGGATAAAGACTTTTTTGGTAATAGGCCAAAAGAGAGTGTTCCACTGTCTAAATAATTCAGCCAGTGTTAGCAAGTGTTAGAACAGAGAAGCATTTGTTTTTGTCTTAAGTGGTCATCAAGTACAATAACAGACTCCATCTGGGATGAAAGACTAGATTTTTTTTAACTGACACATAATAATTATATACATTTATGAGGTACATAATGATAACTCCTTTTTCTACATTTTTATTGATATATAATAGATGTACATATTTGGGGGTAAATATGATATTTTGATATATTCATATTATGTGTAATGATCAAATCAAAGTACTTAGGATATCCATTACTTTAGCTTTTTTTTATGTTGGGAACATTCAAATTATTCTCTGCTAGCTATTTTGAAATGATAATAGATTATTGTTTACTATAGTCACTCTACTGATTTATCAAACAGTAGGTCTTATTTCACGTTTCTACTTGTATTTTTGTACCCTTAATCAATCTCTCTTCAACCCCTCCATCCTCCCTACCCTTCCTGGCATCTGATAACCACCAAACTACTCTGTCTTCATGGGATCCACTTTCTTAACTCCCACCTAAGAGTGAGAGGTTGTGATATTCATCTTTCTGTGCTTGGCTTATTTTCATTTAATTTAATGACCCCCAGTTTCATCCATGTTGCTGCAAATGATAGGATTTCATTTTTTATGATTGATAATATTCCATTGTGCATATATACCACTTTTTTTATCCATTCATCCATTGATGGACACTTAGGTGGATTCCAAATTTTGGAATAGTGTTGCAGTAAATATGGGAGTGCAAATATCTCTTTAATATTTTTTTTTCTTTTGAATATATACACTAGTAGTGGGATTTCTGGATCATATGGTAGTTATATTTTTAGTTTTTTGAGGAATCCCCACTATGTTTTCCACAATGGCTTGTTATTTTGCATTCTCACTAACAGTGTGCAAGGTTTCCACTTCTTTACATCTCCCCAGATCCATTATTCTCCATTTTTCTGATAAAAGCTATTTAAACTGGGGTATGATGATATTTCCTTGTGGTTTTGATTTGCATTTATCTGATGATTAGGGATGTTGAGCATTTTTTAATATACCTGTTGGCCATTTGTATGTCTTCTTTTGAACAAATGTCTATTCAAATCTTTTGCCTATTTTTAAATTGGATTATTTGGGCTTCTGCTATTATGCTGTTTGAGTTTCTTATGTACTGCGGTTATTAATCTCTTGTTGGATGGATAGTTTGCAAATATTCTCTCCAATCCTCTATGTTATTTCTTCACTTTGTTTATTATTTCCTTTGTTGTACAGAGGCTTTTCAACTTGATGTAATGCCATGTATCTATTTTTGCTTTTGTTGCTTGTGCTTTTGAAGTTTTACTCAAAAAATATTTGCACAGACCAATGTTCTAGTGCATTTTTGGAACTACTAGTAAGTAGCTAGTTTTCTGCTAGAAGAAAACATTGCAGCATCCCCAATGTTCTCTTCTAGTAGTTTCATAGTTTCAGGTTTCACATTTAAGTCTTTAATCCATATTGATTTGATTTTTGTATAAAGTGATAGATAGGAGTATAGTTTCATTCTTCTGTTACGGCTTTCCCAGCACCACTTTTCCCAATGGATGTTCTTGGACCTTTGTCAAAAATGAGTTGACTGTACACTTGTGGATATATTTCTGGGTTCTCTATTTTTGTCCCATGAATCTATGTGTCTGTTTTTATGCCAGTACCATGCTGTTTCGGTTACTATAGTTTTATTTTATATTTTTAAATCAGGTAGTGTGATGCCCCTAGCTTTGTTCTTTTTGCTCAGTATTGCTTTGGTTATTAGGGGGTCTTTTGTGATTCCAAATAAATTTTAGGATTGTTTTTTCTATTTCTGTGAAGAATGTTATAGGTATTTTGATAAGGATTGCATTGAATCTGTACATTACTTTGGGTGGTATTGACATTTTAACAATATTAATTCTTGGAATCCATGAGCATAAAATATCTTTCCAATTTTGTGTCTTCTTCAGTTTTTTTCACGAGAGTTTTATAGTTTTTCTTGTAGCGATCTTTCACTTCTTTGTTTAAATTTATTTCTAAGTATCTTATATTTTTTAGCTTTATGAAAGGGATTGCTTACTTGATTGTTTACTCTTGGCATATATAAATGATACTAATTTTTGTATGTTGATTTTTCTACCTTGTGATTTCACTAACATCATGAATCAGTTTTTATACTTTTCTAGCAGAATCTTTAGGTCTAAATATAAGATCATGTCATCTGGGAACAGGGATAATTTGACTTTTTCCTTTCCAACATGGATGTCCTTTATTTCTTTATATTATCTGATTGCTCTGGCTAGGACAACTAGTATTATGTAGAGTGAAAGTGGTAAAAGTACACATTCTTGTTTTGTTTCAGGTATTAGAGAAAAGGTTTTTAATTTTTCTTCATTCACTATAATGTTACTTATAGTTTTGTCATATGTGGCCTTTCTTGTTTTGAGGTATGTTTCTTCTTTTCTGAAAAAAATGTTTTTTTCAGCATCCCTTTATGATAATGCTCAGCAAAATGAGTAAAGAAGGAAGCATTTATCCAATGTTCTTTCAGCATCTATTGAAATGATCATATGGTTTTTGTTCTTGGTTCTGTTAATGTGGTGTATTATATACATTGATTTGCCTATGTACAACCATCCTTGCACTCCTGAAATGATTTGACTTGATTATGGTGAATAATTTTTTAATGTGTTGTTGAATTCTGTTTGCTAGTATTAATATTTTGTTGAGGATGTCTATGTCTATGTTCATTAGGAATATTGGCCTCTAGTCTTCTTTTGTTCTTGTGTCCTTACAGGTGAACAGTGGCATCATAGAATGAGTCAGGGATGAGTTAGGTATAATTCCTTCCTCTTCAATATTTTAATTTTTTTTAATTTGAGTAGAATTGAGACAGCTTCTTCTTTAAATGTTTGGTAGAATTCAGGAGTGAAGCCATCAGATCTTGAGCTTTCTTTCTTCAATGGGGAACTTATATGGCTTTGATCTCATTACTAGTTATTGATAGGCTCAGGCTTTCTATTTCTTCAAGATTCAATCTTGGTAAGTTGTATGTGTCCAGAAATTTATCCATTTCTTCTAGGATTCCCAATTTGTTGGTGTATAGTCTTCCATAGTAGTCTCTAATAATTCATTGTATTTCTGTGGTATCAGCTGTTATGTCTCATTTTATGTTTCTGATTTTATTTATTTGGGTTTTTTCTTAGTCTAGATAAAGGTTTGTCAATGTTGTTTATCTTTTCAAAAAACCAAATTTTTGTTTTGTTAATCTTGCAGATTTTTTTTAGTCTCAACTACATTTATTTCTGTTCTGACCTTTATTCTTTCTTTCCTTCTACTAAATGTAGCTTTTGTAGCTTTGGTTTGTTTTTGTTTTTCTAGTTTTTTGAGGTGCATCATTAGCTTGTTAATTTGAAATCTTTTTACTTTTTAGTTGTTGTTGTTTTTTTTTTTTTTTAGACACTGCCTTACTTTGTCACCCAGGCTGGAGTTCAAGTGGCATGATCACAGCTCACTGCAGCCTTGATCTCCCAAGCTCAAGTGATCCTCCAACCTTAGCCTACCAAGTAGTTGGTGCCACCATGCCCAGCTATTTTTTTTATTTTTGGTAGAGACAGGGTTCTCCCTATGTTGTCCAGGCTGGTCTCAAATTCCTGGACTCAAGTGATGCTCCCACTTCAGCCTGCCAAAGTGCTGAGATTACAGGTGCAAGCCACTGCACCCAGCCTACTTTTTCGATAAGGATGTATTGCTATAAACTCCCATTTCAGCATTGTTTTTGATGTATACCATAGATTTTGATATGTTGTATTTCTATTTTTATTTGTTTCAAGACATTTTTAAATCGTGTTCTTACTTTCTTCATTGACCAATTGATTGTTCAGGAGCATGTTGTTTAATTTCCATACATTTGCCTAGTTTCCAAGGTTCTTATTGTTATTGATTTTCAGTTTTATTCCATTGTGGCCAGAAATAATACTTGATATGATTTCAACTTTTTTGAATTTTTTGAGACTTGTTTTCTAACCTAGGGTCTATTCTGGAGAATGTTCCATGTGCTGATGAGAAAAATGTGTATTCTTCAGTAGTGGGGTTGAATGTTCTGTAAGTGTCAGTTGGGCCCATTTGGTTTAGTGTGTAGTTTAACTTCAATGTTTCTTGATTTTTCTCTCTGGATGATCTGTTACTGAGATGGAGCATTGAAGTCTTTTACTAATATTGAACCACAATTTACCTCTCCCTTTAGATCTACTAATGTTTGCTTTATATACATGGGTATATTTATATTATATTGTTTAAATTTTAAATTTTATATTATAAATATAAAATTTATTTAATATAAATATAAATATTTAATATTTAATAAATATAAAATATTATAAATATAATATAAATAGTTTAAATTTTAAATTTTAAACAATATAGATCCTGTTGTTATGTTCTCTTGCTGACCCCTTTATCATTGTACAGTGACCTTCTTTGTCTCTTTTTACAGTCTTTGACTTGTACTCTATTTTATCTAAGTATAGCTACTCCTAATCTTTTCAGTTTCCATTTACATGGAATATCTTTTTCCATCTCTTCACTCTTAGTGTACCTGTCTTTATGAGTGAAGTGAGTTTCTTGTGGGCAGCATATGGTTAGGTCTTGATTATTTATCCATTTAGCCAATCTATGTCTTTTCATTGAATAATTTAGTCCATTTATATTTAACGTTGTTATTAATAGGTAAGACTTACTACTGATATTTTGTTACCTGTTTTGTGGTTGTTTTGTATCTTCTCTCTTCTTCCTTTTTTACTGTCTTCCTTTGTGCTTAAGTGATTTTCTGGTAGCATGTTTCAATTCATTTTTTTTATTTTTAGTGTATTTATTATAGGTTTTTGCTCTGTGTTACTGTGAGCCTTACAAAAAATCTTCTACATATCACTAATTATTTTAAACAGATGACAACTTATCTTTCATCACAAAGAAAATAATTAAGCAAATGAATATGGAAAAAACTTTTAAGACTCTTCACTTTAACTCCATACTCCAACCCCCATATTTTGACTTTTTGTTGTCTCAATTCATGTATTTTTATGTTGTGTAATTCTTAGCAAGTTTCTGTAGCTATTTTTTGGATATATTTGTCTTTTATTCTTCATACCTCAGTCACAAGTAGATTGCACACCACAATTACCATTAGAGTATTCTGAGTTTGTCTGTGCACTTACCTTTACCAATGAGTTTTATATCTTTAAATGTTTTCCTTTTGTGCATTAGTTTTTTTGTTTTTTTTTTTCTTTCAGATTGAATTCCCTTCAGCATTTCTTAGAAAATGGGTCTGGTGGTGATGAATTCCCTCAGCTTTTGTTTCTCTGGGAGACTTTCTGTTTCCTTCATGTTTAAAAAAAAAGCTTTGCTGGATACAGAATTCTTGATTGGCAGTTTTTTTCTTTCGGTACTGTGAATATGTCATCCCACTTTTTCCTGGTCTATGATTTTCGCTGAAAAATCTGTTGCCAGATGAATTGAAACTCGTTTATATGTTATTTGCTTCTTTTCTCTTGCTGCTTTAGAAACTTTTCTTTGTCCTTAACCCCTGAGAGTTTGATTATTATATGCCATGGGGTAGTTTTATTTGGCACTTAATCTGTTTGGTGATCTCTGACCTTCCTGTACCTGGATATTTCTATCTTTCTCGAGTTTTGGAAATTTTTCTGTTATTATTTCCTTGAATTAGCTTTCTACCCCATGCTTCTGCTCAGCTCTCTCTTGAACACCAATAATTCTTAGATTTCCTCTTTTTAGGTAATTGTCTATATCTTGTAGGTGTTCTTAATTTGTTTGCATTATTTTTTCTTTTTTCTTCTCTGACTCTGTATTTTCTAATAACCTGTCTTTGAGCTCACCAGTTTTCTCTGCTTGATCCATTCTGCTGTTTAGAGCCTCTAATGAATTTTGCATTTAAGCAATTATATTTCTCAGTTCCAGGATTTCTGTTTGATTTTTTATTACAATCTCTTTGTTAAATTTATTTGAAAAATTTCTGAGATGATTTTCTGGATGGTATTGGAGATAAGTGAGTTTTTTTTAAACTGCCATTTTGAATTGTGACCAGAGAGCCCACCCATCACCATCTAGTTAGGTTTAGTTACTGGCTCTTTACTTTGTCCATTTGGGGAGATGATGGTTTTCCACCTGCTATTTTTCTCATGTATGTATGTCTATGTCTTTGCATGAAAGGATTATTTATTCCAGTCTTCTCTGTCTTGTTTGTTTTGATTTGTATTGGGTATGTTTGCCTAGAGATTTCTGTGTAATATACCTGTTGAATACATTTTTTTCTTTTTTTTTTTTTTTTTTTTTTTTTTGCTTGGTCACTGCCTCAGTTTCAGCACTAGATGGTGCATTACACCCAGATTTGCCCCAGCTCCAGCGTAGCAAACTTTGCAGCACTGCCTATCCCAGATGGAGACGATCCCCACCGCCCCCCTGGCCGCGACCCGCCGAAAAAAAAATCCTGGCAGTGTGGGAAAGCTGGCTAGTGATTTTTGCCCAAGGGACCCATGGAATGTGTCTCCTACTGTGTGGTGCTGCTGAAGAGCCACTCTTATTTGGCATTTTCTTTGGCTGAGATACAGAGTGGAGTTTTCCACTCTGGGATGCTAGCCCCACCTCCTCCCTTTGTCTCTGACTGTCCTCAGGAATTATTTTCCCTTGAGGTACTCATCACGCTTCCCATGGCTTGAGACAAATATAGGTCTCCTGTCAGGGAACCCAAAATGGTGAAAAAGCTGGTTGTCCACCTTAATCTCACTCTTTCCAGTATAATCATGTGTTAGGGTTAAATTTTCTGTATGCTTTGTGCCTGAGAGATTGGGGGAAGGGCATTGCAGACATAAAAATCCAATTCTGTTATCATCTATGCTAAGTTTTAAAACTTCTCTGTGGCTCTGGGAACTGTCTCATCTTCATATTTAGGTTCTGGGATATTGCTGGTGATCACCATGGTGCTGTACATTTATTTTTGTTTTTCTGTGGTGGGAGAATCAAGGCAGCTTGCTTCCAGTTGACCATTTTTGTCCAGAGTGATATTTCAATACATGTATACAATATGTAATGATCAAATCTGGGTTATTAGCATATTCATCACCTCAAACACTTATCATTTCTTTGTGTTGAGAACATTCAAAATCATCTCTTCTAGCTATTTGAAAATATACAATAGATATTATTAAGCATAGTGAAAGGTTGGTTTTAAAAAGACATTTTGGAGTGTGATAAATGTACTAGAAGTGAAAGAGGAATAGCTATGGCATATATTTTCAAGGCCATGGCTCACCCACTATGGTGTAGAATTCACATGGCAGTATGTAATCAAATATATTCTTGAGTAAGTATCCAAAGTTAATAAAAGAAGATGTGCCAATAGTTACAACTATAATTTAAACTATGCACCAATAGTTTAAACTGAATTTCACTATTCTTGAGTCCTTATTCCAAAATCAAATCCTAAATTCATGTGAGCGTAGCTGTATTTTTAAGGATGTCAAATGAAATTTATAGATCAACTTTGGATGTTTTACCGGCATACACTGTGTACGCACACACACATACAAACCCATTTGCTAGAAATTGAAATAATTTTCCCCCAACTCATGTGTCCTTTTAGAAACTGCTTATATATGCTTCTCAGAAAGTCAGTCATCACAGTCCATGCAAAGTGAACAGTGGAGCAAATTATTGTCTATAGGTAAGTAACTGAAACTGTGATAGACACCTGGCCTCAGATGAGAAAATTGTATAGTTCTATCTTCCAGAAACTTATCATTGAGACACAGCAACTCTACACTCTTAAACTGAGGACCTGAAGGAAGTGTAGAGCAGCCATCACAGCAGTATCATCACAGCAGTATGGTGTCAAATGTCAACTTCAGAGAGACTGGAGAATGGCGCAAACAAGAAGAGGTTTCTGTGTTTTTCTCTATCGTAAACAGTTATGAGAGAGGGAAACACAGACAGAGAGAGAGGCTGCTCAGTTTCCGATGTCTTTCCTAACTTTAGACCTTCATAAACCTAAATCAACTAACCAACTTTGCATCTGGGCTGACATATTGTCTTCCTGCATGTTACAATACCCTATGATCAACTGTACAAGCTACTATCTAAGGTTAATCTCTCTACTTGTAAACTGGATCACATAATCTATCTCCTAATGAAGGAAATTTTCCCATTTTCCTTAATTTCTCCTTCAACATAATTTTTTCCTCAAAACCAATTTACTCTCCCAGTATCAAAGCAGTACCTAGAAAAGAGTAGGTGCTAAATAAACATTTATTAAAAGGAACTCACCCCAGGGGAAAAAAGCACTATCATTATGGATCAGAGCTTCAGGGAAACAGATCGGCAATACTGCAACAAGAGAAAGGAGTAGGGAGTATAACTGTGTGTTGTGTGTAACTATACCACTGGAGGAATACTTGGAACAGTAACACACCTGAGACACAGGCCCACTGAAAGACCAAGAGTTAATCATGATATTATAGAATGCTATCTCTCTTCCACATCTCATTGCAACACCAACAGGGCTCCAGTATAATAACAATGGATTACAGTGGGAAGAGATTCAAGACATAGATTCTCTCTGAGGGAGGGTACTTAGAAAATCTCAAGTCAAGAACGAGATAAAAATGAGATGAGTAGAGCAATTTTAAGACTCTGACACCTATTGCAACAGCAAACATTAACACAATCCAACTTCTAGCCCCATTAATTTAAATTCCCACCCCAGAGGCCTATTTTCCTTGGTTCCTATTACTTTATACATAATGTCTTGGTCCCTATTACTTTATACATATACTTTTAGTAGTAGTCTAAGGAGATATGAGGATGAAATGTAATGTGGTATCCTGGATCAGATTCTGGAAAATGAAAAAGATATTAGGGGAAAAACTAAAAAATTTCAAAAAAGTATCTACTTTAATTATAATATATCAATATTGGTTCATTAATTGTGACAAATGTACTATACTAATATATGATATTAATAACAAAGGAAACGATATGAAGTATATGAGAATTTTGTACTATCTTTGCAATTTTTCTCTAAATACAACTATTTTAAAATGAGAAATTTGTTTGGAAAATCGTAACAGAGCTGAATATCATTGTAGGTAATTATCATCACCAGGATATTTTAGAATGCATTTTCTCAAGACCAAACTCTTTTCTGCTACCTTCTTTCTCTAACACTTCTCCCTTCTAATTGATAGTGAGCAGAATTGACCCTAATGGCATTCCCATAAGTATACAAAAAATTATTTTTGCGTCTAAGTACCTCCAAAATAGCTTTTCCCTATAGTTCATTTTGGAACCTTGAAAACAATTAATTCTTTTCCCATAACTCCTCATTTTTATCCCAGATGTAAAATCTTGAAATTTTCTATCCTTTTGCCTACCATCATTCCCACCTAGCTGGCCTTTCATGTCCCTATTTCTTCACCTCTGAATTTTATCTCCACCTATTCCATTGTGCCCTTTGAATCTCCAAATCCTCTGTATATAAATTCTCCGCCTTTCAGCGTTTTTCTCACCTCCTTCATCATGAATTCTTCTCTAATGGCTCCAGTGGGTCTATATTAAGAACTTTTCGTCTGTGCTTCCAAATTTATTTCCTAAGTCTACTCTAGAGCTCATTACCCTTTTATAATTCGGTTTCCTGTTCATCTACCTGCATTCCCAGGACTAGGACCTAGAAAAAGCCTTACTAAATGTTAAATAAGTGACTGAATGAACACCAGAACAACATAGTAGTAAGTGTAATTAATACAGCAAAAATTGTCATATATATTGTTTAGAGGAAGGGTTGATTGTATTTGTGTGAGAGTTAATCAAGCAAAGATATAGTTCTAAGTTGAATGAACTGGAGGATTCATCTACAAAAATATGACTCATATCATTCAAAATGAAAAAAAAGGGGGATTACATTTTCCTTTTTTCCCCTCCAACCGTCCCAAGACCCTAAGGAAGTGGAACAATATCCTCAGGTTGACAGCCTCTCTTTATGGACTCTCTACATATATAGGAATACCTTGAATATATTGCAGGTTCAGTTCCAGGCCACTGCAGTAAAGTGAGTCACAGAAATTTTTTTGTTTCCTGGTACATATAGCAGTTATGCTTACACTGTACTGTAGTCTACTAACAGTACACCAAAAAACAGTGTACATAACTTAATTGAAAAATACTTGATTGCTAAACATGCTAAGTTGTAATCTTTTTGCTGATGGAGGGTCTTGCCTCAATGTTGATGGGTGCTGACTGATCGGGGTGGTGGTTGCTGAAGGTTGGAATGGCTGTGGCAATCTCTGACAAAAAGGCAATAAAGTTTGTTGCCCTGATTATCCTTCCTCAAAAGATTTCTCTGTAACATCTGTTTGATAGCATTTTAACCACAGTAGGATTTACTTCAAAATTGGAGTAAATCCTCTTAAACCCTACTGTGGCTTTATCAAATAAGTTTATGTAATATTCTAGATCCTTTATTGTCATATCAAATAGGTGCATAGCATCTTCACCAGGAGTAGATTCCATCTCAAGAAACTACTGTCTTTGCTCATTTATAAGAAGCAATTCCCAATCCATTAAATTTTGATTATGAGATTGCATCAATTCAGTCACACCTTCAGGCTCCACTTCTAATTCTAGTTCTCTTGCTGTTTCCACCAAATCTGCAGTTACTTTGTCCATTGAAGTCTTGTATCTCTCAAAGTCATCCATGAGGGTTGGAACCAACTTTTTCCAAACTCCTGTTAATGTTGATATTTTGACCTCCTCCTATGAACCATGAATGTTCGTAATGATGTCCAGAATGGTGACTCCTTTCCAAAATTTACTTTGCCCAAATCCATCAGAGGAATCACTCTCTATGGCAGCTATAGCTTTATAAAATGTATCTCTTAAATAATAAGACTCTAAAATAAAAAATTACCCTTCATCCATGAGCTGCAGAATAGATGTTGTGTTGGTAAGCATGAAAACAATATTAATCTCGTTGTACATCTCCATCAGACGTCTTAGATGACCAGGTGCATAGTCAAGGAGCAGTAATAGTAAAAGTGCTATTCCACTTTTACTAGTGAAATTAAAAGTGCTACTCCAGTGAACACACGAATGATAAGAAGGTGAGACAGTCTTATTATTGATACAGAGAAAGTTTTAGTGGTCTGGATAGAAGATCAAATCAGCCACAACACTCCCTTAAGCCAAAGCCTAATCCAGAGTAAGGTCCTAATTCTCTTCAATTCTGTGAAAACTGAGCGAGGTGAGGAAGCTGCAGAAAAACAATTGGAAGCTAACAAGATTGGTTCTTGAAGTTTAAGGAAAGAAGCTATCTCCATAACAAAACGTAAAATGCAAGATGAAGCAGCAAGTGCTGATGCAGAAGTTGCAGGAAGTT
The DNA here is from genome assembly GCF_000001405.40 of Homo sapiens. Taxonomy (NCBI): domain Eukaryota; kingdom Metazoa; phylum Chordata; class Mammalia; order Primates; family Hominidae; genus Homo; species Homo sapiens. The sequence continues at coordinate 117,825,005 of NC_000006.12, read as the reverse complement.
ATCCAGAAGAGCTAGCTAAGAACGCTGATGATGGTGGCTGCACTAAACAACAGATTTTCAATAGTAAAAGTAATAGTAAAAGTAAAAGCAAGAGCTTTTCCTTTTCTTTCACAACTTGGCTAAATGTTTGTTGCAAGAGACCTAGCTTTCAGCTTATCTTAGTTTTCAACATGCCTTCCTCACCTAAACTTACACATTTCTAGATTTTGATATAAAGTAAGAGACAAGTGACTCTTCCTTTCATTTAATACTTAGAAGCCATTGTAGGATTATTGATTGGCCTAATCTCCACATTATTTTGTCTCAAGAGAATAAGGAGGCCTGAGGAGAGAAAGAGACATGAGAGAATAGCTGGAGCAGTTAGAACACACACATTTATTAAGTTCGTTGTCTTATATGGCCATGGTTCATGAGACCCCAAAACAATTACGATGGTAACATCAAAGATCTTGATCACAGATCATCATAACAGATATAATAATAATAATAAAGTTTAAAATATTCTGAAAATTACCAAAATGTGACACAGAGATGTCAAGTGAGCACATGCTATTGGAAAAATGGTACCAATAGACTTGCATGATGCAGGGTTCCTACAAAACTTCAATTCATAAAAAACTCAATATCTGTGAAGTTCAATAAAGCAAAGTGGAATAAAACAAGTGTGTCTGTATACATGCATGGAGTGATGCTGGCAATGACAGATGTTGGCAAGGTAGGAGGAGACAGCAATCTCAATAGCACGCACACAGTCAATAAGAGGCAATTCACACATTAGGAGGTATCCTGATCATCAACTGCATTCTAAGAGCTGCATTGCTAAGATGAGAATAAAGAACAAATATGTAGACTGATGTATTTGGCACATAAAGAGATCAACAACAACAACAAAAGGAGATCAACAGAAATGAAAACAAACCCATCATATTATTTTTCTTATCAGAATTCACTTTGAAAAGTTGATATCCAGTCATAATTCAATGAGCTGGTGAGCATTTATATTTTGTAAAGTTTTCTGCATATATATTATGTCACAAAAAAGTAAATCTCCATGGTTTAATATTATGTAACAAGAAAAATTCATTCACAAAGAGCCACAAGTTAAATTTACCAATGATAATGGTATATGTAGTAAAGGCCAAAGAGGAATTAGATGCCAATTATTAAACACAAAATAATCCCCTAATTTTTCATTCCAGTACTACCCTTATTCAAACAATATCATTGTGGGAAACAAAAGAACAGGCAGTAATCATGTTGACAATTGGGATATAAGAATAATTTTATGTTACTTAGTCCTCCTTTAAAGCAGATATGTTTTAAATATGCTTTTTATAATCAGTGTTTTCTATGGCTACAGTTGGGCTGTAGGTGAACTCAATAATTTACACCTATCTCTCCACATCCAAATGGCTTTCTGAGGCATTTGAAAAATAACACAAAAAAGTAAGATGCTTTTGGGTTGAAGTACCACCTTACTATTCTTTAAGCACATATGTAAGAATGTGGCTTAAATGTACCATAACCCTGTGATTATAATATTTCACCCAAGAATTAGACCCCTCAAGTCCCAGACAGGGCTGAAATCCACAGGCCTTCCCCAAGGGCAGAGCCAGCCTGGGATGCTATCAGTATGGAAGCTTAGATAAGAGCATATACTTCCTGTGGACAGGAGTCCCACAGAGAAGGAGAATGGAAGGCATGGGGCTACATGTGTCTGGTTCCTCTTCCCAAACTTACCAGTCAGTTAAGATTGGATGGGGAAAAGTGGAGAGCAAGAGTGAAGACAAACAGGAGTGACACCCAGAGAATGAAACAAAACTGAGAGAAGCTGGGTGTTACATTAATTCATGTCCTCCAACAAGAATGGAAACATCAGGAGTTGGAAGGCAGTGCTCCCCTACTCTCAAAAGCAACCTTGTTTGTTGCTGGTCTAAGACCTATGCTTTGTCACCATTTTCTAAACCTCCTTTTTTACACTATGTTTTAAGGGGTAATATCTATATTCCCAGATAGATAATAAGCTCTGTGAGGGTAAGGAATACATCTGTATTTTTCACTGTATTTCTAGCACCTAGTATGAAGCCTATCATAGAGTGGATGCTCAAGTATTACTTATTGAATAAATGAATGAGTGAGTGAATATTAATAATATCCCAGCATAACTCAGCAAAATCGCAAATATGGTGCATGGGAGCTATCACTGTTGCCACAGAAAAACTGATTGCTCCCTTTGTATTTGCTTGGATTGGCTTGTTCTCTTCCCCTACCTCATACATGCACACACACATGAGATAATTTGTGATGGAATAATGGTCTCCTATTGAACACAGCTTGTCTCATGACCGGGTAGCCAGGAAGATTTCCAAGCTGATGAACAGTGTGAGTGGTGAGCTCTGTCAGAGGTGATTGCATATGGGGGTGCAGGAGATGTGAAAGATAATATGAAAAAAAGTAGAGAACAATTTTAGCCAAGCAACAGCTTTTTCCATTTGTTCATTTTAGGTAAATATATAATTTTTCAAATCATAATAGTTTGTAACACTTTGAGAACAGGGCAGAGAACTGCTATAATTGTTTAACATTAGAACATATTTGTTGTGAGCATCAAACTAGGCAGTACAAAACAGTTTTAACCATTGACTTTGAGTCACACAGATCTCAGCTCTGACCTAGCACTAGTTATATAACCTTAATTCAATTACTTAATTTCTCAAAGCTCAGTTTTCTCATCCAGAAAGTGGGGAAAACAATGGCTGCCTCACAGAGTTGTAAGGATTAAGCCAACAAGGTACATGTAATGCCTGAAATACATACAACAGAGAATAAATAGTAGCTATTGTTATTCTAAATCTTAAAACACGGTGTAAACTGTAAATCACTAACTAAATGTAGGGCATTATTATCATTATTACTATTGTAGGAAATTTCACTGCTGTTTCACAAAAAGGCAACAGCAAAACAGAGGATGTTTTGCTCCATATCTATCTGTTACACAGAAGTTAATAGCTGTGCATTAATGGCTGCTTCATTCCCCAGTGGGATATGAGCTGTATTACAATAGAAAAGGTTAAATCCTCATTAGGCATATAAGGTGTGTTGTAGAGCAGAAAGGCACCTGTGAAATGTGCTCAGCTGTCTTCTATCGCTTGTCATGTTGTCACATTTGTTAAGTCAAAAAATACATATAAGCTCATAACAATTTAGGTGTTGTGACTTTTAATGGCTTTTTTAAAGTTTCTTTTTAAACTAAATTTTTTTTTTTTTTTTTTTTTTTTTTTTTTTTTTTGAGACGGAGTCTTGCTCTGTCGCCCAGGCTGGAGTGCAGTGGCGGGATCTCGGCTCACTGCAAGCTCCGCCTCCCGGGTTCACGCCATTCTCCTGCCTCAGCCTCCCAAGTAGCTGGGACTACAGGCGCCCGCCACTACGCCCGGCTAATTTTTGTATTTTTAGTAGAGACGGGGTTTCACCATTTTTAGCCGGGATGGTCTCGATCTCCTGACCTCGTGATCCGCCCGCCTCGGCCTCCCAAAGTGCTGGGATTACAGGCGTGAGCCACCGCGCCCGGCCTAAACTAAAATTTTTATATGATAGCTCTAAGGTCAAATGTTTAATATGGGACATTGTCATTGCTGTGTGCTTCAATATACAACCATTATAATTAAGATTTCAAATGACTGGTTCTGAAGTACATTGCCTCTGGTTTGCATAATGCACGTTATATTCATTGTTGCAGTTTATTTTGCATAAATCAATCTTGTTAATATCTTTAGTCATCCTCTTGCTTTCCAGAGTCTTGAATCAAGTTAATTCTCTGAAGGAGGAAGTGTCAGGACTCAGGCAGCTAGGGGGATCTGCATAATTCTACTCCATCGTTAATAAAACCTGTACTACAGAAGTTTCCATGATTTATTGGCAAATTTTAACTCTGCTGCCTCTTTGTTTCTCTAGGAAATAAGAACATAGGTTTATGTCTACATAGAATGGTCAGAGATGGGGAATAAAGAGGTTAAAGGAAAAAAAAGTGGGCATCCAAGCTGTGACAATGAAACACAATTGATTCCCTTAATGGATATTTTACTGAGAATACCAGCTTGAAAAGAAGAAAAGCAGAAGCATTGTCCTTTTTAAGAGTTGCAGCAATAAACATTGTATTCTGTTAGCATAAAGGTGAGGTGTCACCATGTTATTAGGGTGACAGAACTATCCCTGAGAACTAAGCATGATGCTGACAACCCATCCTAGTTGGTGACATACAGAATGGACCTTTGGGATCCATACATAGAAGGATTCCCCAGCTGGACTATGCATTAAGCCACAAAAATCCCTCAGAAAATAAGATGAAAACTGCTGAAAAGGAGAAAATGTTGCCCTCATTACTATAGCCTTCTTACAAAGAAGATAGTGACATCCACCATCAGACAAGATATGTCTCTTGTCAAGATATATTTTTCTTAATCCCCACAGAAACTTATGTGTATTTATTTCTTCTGATATCACCAGTATGGTTGCTTTTTTCCAAAACACCAACATGGTTGTTTTTCCCAATAGCCAAGTCTATTATAGAAGTCAATTTTCTCTCTACATATAATCTGCACTGCAACGCTATCCCTCAATCTTCTCTATAGTGTTTACCAATAAAACCATTCCAGAAATGGAAACATTTATTTCTATTTGCCTAAAATACCGCCTCTACTCCTGTTTTCCTTTCTTCTAAATTTATTGTGAACCAATAATGTGTTTTAACAGTAGATTTTCTCTGAAATCTTAGAAATTTATCCAAAATGTATTAAGCACCAACTGTGCCAGGAATTATACTAAACACTAGGAACACGAACTCGAATTCGTTCTTTATGCTTAAAAATGTATTCAGTATTAAACTTCCACTTCAGGACATGATGGAGTAAGTGGTATTGGACTTTTTCTGCCATGAAAAACAACTTATAAAACTGTAGAAATTATAAGGGCAAACTTTTCTTCAGGTATTAAACACCAACACTGGTTTTGATGCTTTCAAGACAGGAAACACATAAATGAGCTGCACAATTCTGCAGTTTTCTTCCTCAGGGCACTTTCCTGACAACCCAGGGATGTGGAACTCAGGAGGAAAAGATGAACTCAGTGAGCTGAGAGAACAAAGTCGTTTAGGGGTATCGAGGAGCTGGAATGCACATGTCATGGTGCAGCATAGAGAAAGCAGTACAATGGGGTCCCTAGAAATCTGTGTGGTGATTCCCTTGGGTATTTGCCTGAGCATAAAGCCTCTCTCTTTATGGGCTGCTTCATTCCCCAGTGGGATATGAGCTGTACTATAACAGAAATGGCTTGGCTGGTAGGTTGCCATCTTCTCTCTATGCCTATTCACATCATCTTTCCTCTGTGCAAGTCTCTGTACACAAATTTCTTTTTTTTTTTAATAAGAACCCCAACCATATTGGATTAGGAGATCCTAAGGACCTCATTTTAGGTTTATTCCCTCTGTAAAGACCCTATCTCCAAACACAGTCATATCATGTGGTACTAGAGTTAGGACATCAACTTATGAAATTAGAGGTGGAGGGGAACACAGTTCAACTCCTAACAAAAAGAGATTTTTTAAACCTGTCAAACTATCATTCTAAATACTGTGGAAATATGCTTCAAATTGAGGATAAAATTTTTTTGGATAATACTAAAATAAATATTTTTGGCAACCAGACCCTTACTTTAAGAAATACTAAAGGAAATTCTTTAGATTGAAGGCAAATGCTACATAGAATGTCAAATCTACAAGAAGATATGAAGAACTCCAGAAAAGTTGAATAAATGGGTAGATATAAAGGTCAATTTTCCTTTTTCCCTAACTTCTTTAAAAGACAACTGACTGCTTAAAGAAAAAATGATAAAACTGTTTGTAATGTTTACAATATATATAAGAAAAACATATGACAAGAGCACAAATGATTTCCCCTGTTTCAAGTCTCTTAAGTGTTAGTGGAAGTGGTACAATGTTGATTCTAACTAGGTTAAGGATGCATAATGTAATCCCTAGAGCAACCACTAAAATAATGCAACAGAGTTACAGCTAAAAGGAGGAAAATCAAATTGTAAAAATTAATCTGTGAAGCAAGGACCTCACAAAAAAAGTAAAAAAAAAAAATTAATTAAACCAAAAGAAGGCAAGAAAGGCAAAAGAATACCAAAACAAAACAACAGATGGGACAAATAGAAAACCAACAGAAAGCAGAGGGCTTAAACCTAACCAATCTAACCATGGAAGATTGTATTTAGCCACAATAATATCTCCCATCTTCTACAATGGGTCTGTATCAGTTTGTGAGTGCTGCTGTAACAAATACCACAGCTTGGGTGGCTCAAACCACAGAAATTTATTTCCTCACAGTTCTGGATGCTAGAAGAACAAAACCAAGACGTCAGCAGGGTTGGTTTCATTTTGAGTCTTCTCTTTGTCTTGTAAATGGCTATCTTCTCCCTTTGTACTTGCATGGTCTTTCCTCTGTGCATATCCCTGCCAGTGTCCTCCTCTTCTTAAAAGGACACTTGTCATATTGTCTTAAAACACCACCACTCACATGACCTTATTTTTACCTTAATTAATACTTTAAAGCCCCATTGCCAAATTCAGCCACATTCTGGGGTACTAGGAAGAATGTATGAATTCAGTTCATAACAGGGTATTTGCCATTTGTATTAAGAGGAGTTGTTTCTCCAACCTATCAAATCTAGATGGGTGTTGTTACTGCTTTGACCAATATACTATGACAGAAGCAACACTGTCAATTCCAGGCATGATACTGATCTGATATGTGCTGACAATGCTATACTACTAAGCAATAAAAGGGTTTGAACTACTGATACATTCACTTGTATGAATATCAAAATCAGTATATTGAAAGAAAAAAGTCAGACACAAGGGAATGAATACTTTATAATTTCATTTATATGAAGTTCAAGAATAGGCAAGAGTAATTTAATCTGATAGGAATTCAAACTGTGATTCCCTCTGTTTGAGGAAGTATAATTGGATTAGAAGGGGCCAAAGAGGAACCTGTTTAGGGGATAGAAATGTCTGTAACATGGTTGTCTAAGTCCTTTTTGTGTTGCTATGAAGGAATATCTGAGGCTGGGCAATTTATAAAGAAAAGAGATTCGTTTGGCTTATGGTTCTGTAGGCTGTAGAAGAAGCACGGTGCAAGTATCTGCACCTCAGGCTCCTTCCACTCATGGCAGAAGGTGAAGGAGAGCCAGTGCATGCAGAGATCACATGGCAAGAGAGGAAGCAATAGAGCGGGAAGAGGCGCTAGGCTGTTTTTGGTTTTGTTTTGTTTTTAACAAGCAGCTCTAGAGGGAACTGATAGAATAAGAACTCACTCGCTCACTTCCCCCACCCCAGGGAGGACATTAATCTATTCATGAGGGATTCAACCTTGTGACCCAAACACCTCCCATTAGGCCCCACCTCTAATATTGAAGGCCAAATTTCAACACAAGATTAAAAATGAGTGAAGATGTTTGTTAAGACTTACCCAACTATATACTTAGGATCTATAAATTGTATTCTACATATTAGTTTCCTATTGCTTCTGTAACAAATTGATACAAATTTAGTAGCTGAAAACAACACAAATTTATTATCTTATAGTTCTGGAAATCATTAACCCAAAATAGGTCTCACTGGGCTAAAATTAAGGTGTCAGGGGGCTGGTTCCTTCTGGAGCTTCTGGGGGATAATATATTTTCTTGCCTTTTCCAGCTTCTAGAGGCTGCCCACCATCCTTGGCTCATGTATTTCTTTCATCTTCAAAGCCAGCAAGAGCCAGTAAAGTCTTTCTCACATTGCATCAGTCTGACATTAACTCTTCTGCCTCCTTTTTCCATATTTGAAAGATATGATGGCAATCACACTGGGCCTGTCTTAGTCCATTTTATGCTGCTATAAAACAATAAGACAGACTTAGTAATTAATAATGAATAGAAAGGTATTGACTCATGGTTCTGGAGGTTGGGAAGTCCAAGATCAAGACTGGTATCTGATGAGGACTTTCTTGCTGCATCATCCCATGATGGAAGGGCCAGGAGAGGCAAGAGGGAGGCAAAGGGGGGCTGAATTTGTCATTTTATAAGGAACCCACTCTTGCAATAATGGCATTAACCTATTCACGAGGGCAGAAACTTTATGGCCTAATCACATTTTTAATGTCTCGCATCTTAATAAAGTTACAATTGCAATTACATTTCAACGTGAGTTTAAAAAGGTACAAACAAACCCCATCAAAAAGTGGGTGAAGGATATGAACAGACACTTCTCAAAAGAAGACATTTATGCAGCTAACAGACACATGAAAAAATGCTCATCATCACTGGTCATCAGAGAAATGCAAATCAAAACCACAATGAGATACCATCTCACACCATTTAGAATGGTGATCATTAAAAAGTCAGGAAACAACAGGTGCTGGAGAGGATGTGGAGAAATAGGAACACTTTTACACTGTTGGTGGGACTGTAAACTAGTTCAACCATTGTGGAAGACAATGTGGCGATTCCTCAGGGATCTAGAACTAGAGATACCATTTGATGCAGCCATCCCATTACTGGGTATATAACCAAAGGATTATAAAACATCCTGCTATAAAGACACATGCACACGTATGTTTACTGCAGCACTATTCACAATAGCAAAGACTTGGAACCAACCCAAATGTCCATCAATGATAGACTGGATTAAGAAAATGTGGCACATATACACTATGGAATACTATGCAGCCATAAAAAAGGATGAGTTCATGTCCTTTGTAGGGACATGGATGAAGCTGGAAACCATCATTCTGAGCAAACTATTGCAAGGACAGAAAACCAAACACCACATGTTCTCACTCATAGGTGGGAATTGAACAATGAGAACACTTGGATGCAGGGAGGGGAACATCACACACCAGGGCCTGTCATGGGGTGGAGGGAGGGGGGAGGGATAGCATTAGGGGAAATACCTAATGTAAATGACAAGTTAATGGGTGCAGCACACCAACATGGCACATGTATACACATGTAACAAACTTGCACGTTGTGCACATGTACCCTAGAACTTAAAGTATAATAAAAAAAGGTAACCCTTATACTTACTGATGTAAAATTTCATAATGAAAAAATAAACAAATAAAAAAGTAAAAGGTACAAACATTTAAACCATAGCTGGGCTCATCAAGATAATCCAGGATAATTTTATTTTAAATTCAGCTGATTGCAATTCGAATTCCATCTGTGACCCTAATCACCCTAGTCAAGTAACAATAACAGATCCTGGGGATTAAGACATGAACATCTTTGGGGAAACCTTATTCTACCTACCATACTTTATGTAAATTTTATCTCAATAAAAATGGCTTTTTTAAAAGCCTATGATATGCCAGTCACTATTCTGGGTGCTTATATATAGATAGGTTAATATTTATTTATTTATTCTTTTCTGTCTTCTCTACTAGAATCTAACCTTTGTGAGATCAGGGCGGTTTGTTGGGTTTACTGTTGTTAAAATAGTATCCAGCCCATACAGGAGCTTAGTAAAAATTTATTGAGTAAATGAATATGAACTCAAACAATAAATTTTATTTACTCCTGCTGATTTTATTCATAGTGTTGATTGAATTGATTTGTTGGCAGAGCTTTATATAGACAAAATCACAGCAATTATAAATTTACAAACCCCAGTAAATAAAAGGTTGTCTTTCAACCATTGAATGTCAGTATTAGAATACCACAGTCATCTTACAGGACATCCCAGGAAGCAGGGGACAGAGCCACTCATTGAATGGGGTCAACCTTTATATTAGAATATCAAAGTTTCCTTAGAAAACAATTTGGTTCAGGAGACACACTCAAGGTTTTATTTCCTGATTAATTTTGGTTGTTTTTACTGTTATTCCTTATGAAGCTGAAATACATTATTTCAAACTAAAACATATGGTGTAAGAAATACCACCAAAGAGAATTTTTCCCCTGTTGTTTATTAAGTATTTTACTAAAGGCTTTAAAAGTCAACATCAGAAAATATGTTTCACACCATCACTTCCTTACATGTTTAGACCATTGAATGCTCAATCTTCATAACTTCGTAACATCAAACACAAACTTATAAAGTCTTGGGGAAAAAAAGACATTGTATTTGGCTATGCTTGGAGGAGAATAAAAGGGTTTCTTCCTTCTGTTTCCCCCCAACCCCAAGACATTTATGTTCCCTTAGGAAATAAATGCAGCAACAATATGTAAATGTACCAACAACTTCTTACCTCCTTCTTACACTGGTTTGCATTTTGAATATCATAGCTAAGACTCCATGATTTTTTATAACTTTATTCATGAGAGAAAAATAATTTATTCCACTGAACAATTTTGATTAAGTTTTTATTCTAGAGTTACCCTAATAGAAGTAGCACATAGACATATACTGCAATAACCTCTTTACTTCCAAAGACCTACTGATCAACGATATTTTATTTTTAAATCATTTTCTATCTTAAAATGTACATGATCTTCTCCAATATTAATGATCATTATAATTAGATTGTTTTTCTTTAAAGAGAAGTGGGTGTGTATGTGTGTGAGTGTGTGTTCCTAATGTTTTCTGTGTAAACAAGCAAGAGCTTAGATATAATGCACATTACAGAACTTTGAAGAAATAAGTGCAACCAATGGAATTTGGTAGAGTCAAGAAATCTAAAGGAAGAGTACAGATACATCATAAAGGGGGAGCTAATATTGGGTCATATCCAAGAAAAAATGGAAATGTTGCAGACACAGCTTTCTGGACAAAGAAGGAATAGCAGAATCTCTGTGGTTGCCTCCATACTTGACAAAATTCATGTGGATTGGAAAATACAACTGATCCGAGAAAGCAACATGACATCGAAGAAGAAGTAGTAATAGGTTAGATAACAATAGTGGAGAGTTTTTAATTCATAAGATACTGAAAGATACAATTTTTGGTAAAGGACAAAGAATTTTACCTTAGAACAGGGGTATTTTGAAGCTCCAAAAAGCCTGGTGAATAACTTAATACAACTTCTCAAAGTCCTGGGATAAATATGGGCCAAGGGACAAAATAACAAGACCAGGGGGTGAGGGTGGAGGAACATTATGGGGAAGAAAGTATGCTTTTATTTTTTTTTTGTCAACTTTAGTTTTAGATTCAGGGGATACATGTGCATCTTTGTTAACTGTTACATTGTGAGATGCTGAGGTTTGGAGTATGAATAATCACATCACCCAGGTACTGAGCATAGTACCCAACCGTTAGTTTTTCAACCCCTCCCCTCATCACTCCCTCTTCCATGTCCCTCTCCTCCCTTTAGTAGTCCCAAGTGTCTATTGTTGTCATCTTTATGTTTGAGTAGAAAATATCCTTTTATTTTATTTTATTATTTTTTTGAGACAGGATTTCACAGTGCTCCCCAAGTGGTAGTGCAGTGACACAATCATGGCTCACTGCAGCCTTGACCTCCCAAGCTCAAGGATCTGCCCACCTCAGCCTCCCAAGTAGCTGGGAGTGCAGGCTCATGCCACCACACCAGGCTAATTTTTTGTAGAGATGGGGTTTTATCATATTGCTCGGGCTAGTCTCAGATTCCTGGGCTCAACAACCCTCCTGTCTCCAAAGGGCTAGAATTACAGTCATGAGCTACCACTCCTGGCCCAAAAGTATCCTTTTAAGTGAAAAGGCAGCTAAAGAAATAGAAGAAATAAGCAAATTCAAACTGGAAAGGAAGGTACAAACCAGAAGTTAGCAGAAACCAAAAGAAGAAATTCAAGGAAAATTTTGCAAAGGAATAAAAATGCAAATGCATTTTCTAAAAATTTAAAAAATGTAAAAGAGATAACCAGGTTCAAATTCTGAAGGATTATTTCATAATCACAGAGCAAAAGGTGAAATTAGTGGATTAAAAAGCAAAGAGTACCATGTCTTTGGTGGTTGTTTAGGGCATTTAGCATGGTGCCTTGAATTTGAGGACCAGTCTTTTTTATTTATTTATTTATTTTTTGAGACTGAGTTTCACTCTTGTTGCCCAGGCTGGAGTGCAGTGGCATAATCTGGGAGGAGCACTTTATTTTCAAAACATGTTCATTTGGCCAGGCACAGTGGCTCACGCCTGTAATCCCAACACTTTGGGAGGCCGAGGTGGGCAAAGTTCCTGAGGTCAGGAGTTTGAGACCAGCTTGACCAATATGATGAAACTTTGTCTCTACTAAAAATACAAAAATTAGCCAGGCATGGTGGCATGCGCATGTAATCCCAGCTACTTGGGAGGCTGAGACAGGAGACTCGCTTGAACCCGGGAGGCGGAGGTTGAAGTGAGCCGAGATTGCACCACTGCGCTCTAGCCTGGGCAACAAGAGTGAAACTCCATCTCAAAAATAAAAAAAATAGTGTCCATTTGATATCCTTTTTGGTCTTTACTTTGGAAAAAGTTAAAAAGATTTCCACTTTCAAATTGCCTTGAAGCAGATAGATCAAAGATACTATATTGAATAAGAATAACAAACACACTGATACTTCAGAACAAAGCAAAATATATTAAAAAGTAAGATAAAGATTTTAAAAATCTATCCTAAATTTGTGAAGAAACTTGAGAGTTTAATTGTAGGATCACTGACAAAAAGCAAAACATGTCTAACAAGACCTCATGACTAGATTGCCCTTAAAATTCATTCATATGAAAAACTTCAGAGGAGATCTGGGTTCTAAGGTTAGTAGGTTTCATTTCCTGACTGGCAAGTAGGATCACCAGCCACATGAGCAAACATCCAGTTTGGGAAAACGGACCTGGTTTTTGTTGGGCGAAATCCTGCCTGGCTGATCTAATGCCTCAGAGCAGTTTAAGAAATTATTTTCAAACATTGTGATCAAATGAAAACTAAGTTCCTGGTCACACATGTTACTAGACTCAGCTCCATATATACAGTGATTTTAAGAGACAAGGATCTTAATATAGCATAAACAAATATCCTAAGACATATTACACTAATTTGTCATGAAACTGGGCCTGGAATCTTTTATCCGCTTGTTCCTTCTTTCACTTTTCAAATTTCTGCTTTAAAATTTACACACTCCAGATGCATCATCCCTAAGCCAATAGTGCCAACAAAATATCTACAATAGTTCTGAAAAACATGTTCTCACCCACATGAAGAAATTCAAAGTGGCCACCCTTTAAGAATCATGAGCCTGCCAGGCGTGGTGGCTCACACCTGTAATCTCCGCACTTTAGCAGGCCGACACATCTGAGGTCAGGAGTTCAAGCCCAGCCTAGCCAACATGGCAAAACCCCATCTCTACTAAAAGTACAAAAATTAGCTGGGCCATGGTGGTGCATGCCTACAATCTCAGCTACTCAGGAGGCTAAGGCAGGAGAATTGTTTGAACCCAGATTGCAGTGAACTGAGATCACACCACTGCACTCCAGCCTGGGTGATAGAGGGAGACTCTGTCTCAAAAAAAAGAAAAAAAAAATAATGAGCCTATAAATAACCCTTAAGGAATGGCTAAAGAATAAGAAAAAATGGTTTTTCACTGGCAAGATGGCCGAATAGGAACAGCTGCATTCTGCAGCTCCCAGCAAGACCAATGCAGAAGGTGGGTGATTTCTGCATTTCCAACTGAGGTACCCGGTTCATCTCACTGGGACTGGTTAGACAGTAGGTGCAGCCCATGGAAGGTAAACAAGCAGGGTGGGTGTTGCCTCACCCGGGAAGTGCAACGGGCTGGGAACTTCACCCACCCCCCCAGCCAAGGGAAGCCATGAGGGATTGTGCTATCTGGCCCAGATACTACAATTTGCCCACAGTTTTTGCAACCCGCAGACCAGGAGATTCCCTAATGTGCCTACACCACCAGGGCCCTGGGTTTCAAGCACAAAACGGGGCAGCTGTTTGGGCAGACACCAAGCTAGCTGAAGGAGGTTTTTTTTGTACCATAGTGTCACCTGGAACCCCAGTGAGACAGAACTGTTCACTCACTTGGAAAGCAGGCTGAAGCCACAGAGCCAAATGGTCTTGCCTAGCAGGTCCCACCCCCATGGAGCCCAGCAAGCTAAGATCCACTGGCTTAAAATTCTCACTGCCAGGACAGCAGTCCAAAGTTGATCTGAAATGGTCCAGCTAGGTGAGGGAGGGGCGTCTGGCATTACCGAGGCTTGAGTAGGCAGTTTTCCCCTCACAGTGTAAACAAAGCCACCTGGAAGTTCAGACTGAGAGAAACCCAATGAAGTGCAGCAAAGATGCTGTGGCCAGCCTGCCTCTCTAGATTCCTCCTCAGTTGGCAGGGCATCTCTGAAAGAAAGGTAGCAGCCCCAGTCAGGGGCTACAGATAAAACTCCCAGCTCCCTGGGACAGAGCACCCGGGGGAAGGGGCAGCCGTGGACACAGCTTCAGCAGACTTAAACGTTCCTGCCTGCCTGCTCTGAAGCGAGCAGCAGATCTCCCAGCACAGTGCTGAAGCTCTGCTAAGAGACAGACTGCCTACCCAAGTGGGCCCCTGACCCGGTGCCTCCTGACTGGGATAATCTTCCCAGCAGGAGTTGACAGACACCTCATACAGGAGAGCTCCAGCTGTCATCTGCTAGGTGCCCCTGTGGGACGAAGCTTCCAGAGGAAGGAGCAGACAGCAATCTTGCTGTTCTGCAGCCTCCACTGGTGATACCCAGGCAAACAGGGTCTGGACTGGACCTCCAGCAAACTCCAGCAGACCTGCAGAAGAGGGGCCTGAATGTTAGAAGAAAAACTAGCAAACAGAAAGCAATAAGATAAACACCAACAAAAAGATACCCACTCAAAAACCCCATCCAAAGGTCATCAGCATCAAAGATCAAAGGTAGATAAATCCATGAAGAAGATGAAAAAACAGTGCAAAAATGCTGAAAATTCCAAGAACCAGAATGCCTCTTCTCCAAAGGATCACAGCTCCTCAACAGCAAGGGCACAAAACTGGGTGGAGAATGAGTTTGACAAATTGACAGAAGTAGGCCTCAGAAGGTGGGTAATAACAAATTCCTCTGAGCTAAAGGAGCACATTCTAATGCAATGCAAGGAAGCTAAGAACATTGATAAAAGGTTACAGGACCTGCTAACTAGAATAACCAGTTTAGAGAAGAACATAAAACAACCTGATGGAGCTGAAAAACACTGCGCCAGAACTTCGTGAAGCATACACAAGTATCAATAACTAAATCAATCAAGTGGAAGAAAGGATATCAGAGACTGAAGATCAACTTAATGAAATAAAGCATGAAGACAAGATTAGAGAAAAAAGAACAAAAAGCAATGAACAAATCCTCCAAGAAAAATAGAACTATGTAAAAAGACCAAACATATAATTGATTGGTGTACCTGAAAGTGATGGGGAGAATGGAACCAAGTTGGAAAACACACTTCAGGTTATTATCCAGGAGAAATTCCCAAACCTAGCAAGACAGGCCAACATTCAAATTCAGGAAATACAGAGAACACCACAAAGATACTCCTCGAGAAGAGCAACCCCAAGACACATAACTGTCAGATTCACCAAGGTTGAAATGAAGGAAAAAAATGTTAAGGGCAACCAGAGAGAAAAATAGGGTTACCCACAAAGGGAAGCCCATCAGACTAACAGTGGATCTCTCAGCAGAAACCCTGCAACCCAGAAAATAGTGGGGACCAATATTGAACATTGTTGAAGAAAAGAATTTTCAACCCAGAATTTCATATCCAGCCAAACTAAGCTTCACAAGTGAAGGAGAAATAAAATCCTTTACAGACAAGCAAATGCTGAGGGATTTTGTCACCACCAGGCCTGCCTTACAAGAGCTCCAGAAGGAAACACTAAATATGAAAAGAAAAAACTGGTACCAGCCACTGAAAAAAAATAAACATACCAAAATATAAAGATCAATGACAGTACAAAGGAACTGCATCAACTAATGGGCAAAATAACCAGCTAGCATCATGATGATGGGATCAAATTCACATATAACAATATTAACCTTAAATGTAAAGGGCTAAATGCCCCAATTAAAAGACACAGACTGGCAAATTGGATAAAGAGTCAAGACCCATCAGTGTGCTGTATTCTGGAGACCCATCTCACATGCAAAGACACACATAGGCTCAAAATAAAGGAATGGAGGAATATTTACCAAGTAAATGGAAACCAAAAAAAAAAAAGCAGAGGTTGCAATCCCAGTCTCGGAGAAAACAGACTTGAAACCAATAAAGATCAAAAAAGACAAAGAAGGGCATTACATAGTGGTAAAGGGATCAATGCAACAAGAAGAGCTAAGATCCTAAATATATATGCGCCCAATACAGGAGCATCCAGATTCATAAAGCAAGTTCTTAGAGACCTACAAAGAGACTTAGACTCCTACAACAATAATAGTGGGAGATTTTAACACCCCACTGTCAATATTAGACAGCTCAACAAGACAGAAAATTAACAAGGATATTCAGAACATGAACTCAGCTCTGGACCAAGCAGACCTAATAGACATCTACTGAACTCTCCACCCCAAAGCAACAGAATATACATTCTTCTCAGAACCACATAGTACTTATTCTAAAATTGATCACATAATTGGAAGTAAAACAGTTCTCAGCAAATGCAAGAGAATGGAAATCATAACAAACAGTCTCTCAGACCACAGTGCAAGCAAATTAGAACTCAGGACTAAGAAACTCACAGAAAACCACACGACTACATGGAAACTGAACAATTTGCCCCTGAGTGACTACTAGGTAAATAACGAAATGAGGTCAGAAATAAATAAGATCTTTGAAACCAATGAGAATAAAGACACAATGTACCAGAATCTCTGGGACACAGCTAAAGCAGTGTTTAGAGAGAAATTTATAGTACTAAATGCCCATAACAGAAAGCGGGAAAGATCTAAAATCAACACCGTAACATCACAATTAAAAGAAGTAGAAAAGCAAGAGCAAACGAATTCGAAAGCTAGCAGAAGACAAGAAATAACTAAGATCAGAGCAGAACTGAAGGAGATACAGATATAGGTGTTTCTGAAGGAGAAAAACCCTTTAAAAATCAATGAATTCAGGAGCTAGTTTTTTAAAAAATTAACAAAATAGATAGACTGCTATCCAGACTAATAAAGAAGAAAACAGAGAATAATTAAATAGACACAATAGAAAATGATAAAGAGGATATCACCACTGATCCCACAGAAATACAAACTACCATTAGAGAGTACTATAAACACCTTTATGCAAGTAAACTAGAAAATAGGAAGAAATGGATAAATTCCTGGACATATACACTCTCCCAAGACTAAACCAGGAAGAAGTCAATTCCCTGAATAGACCAATAACATGTTCTGAAATTGAGGCAGTAACTAATAGCCTACCAACAAAAAAAGCACAGGACCAGACAGATTCACAGCTGAATTCTACCAGAGGTAGAAAGAGGAGCTGGTCCATTTCTTCTGAAACTATTCCAAACAGTAGAAAAAGAGGGACTCCTCTCTAACTCATTTTAGGAGGCCAACATCATCCTGAAACCAAAACCTGGCAAAGACACAATAAAAAAAGAAAATTTCAGGCCAATATTACTGATGAACATTGATGCAAAAATTCTCAATAAGATACTGGCAAACTGAATCCAGCAGAACATCAAAAAGCTTATCCACCACAATCAAGTCAGCTTCATCCCTGAGATGCAAGGCAGGTTCAACATACACAAGTCAGTAAGTGTAATCCATCACATAAACAGAACCAATGACAAAATACATATAATTATCTCAACAGATGCAGAAAAGGCTGCCAACAAAATTCAACACCCCTTCATGCTAAAAACACTCAATAAACAAGGTATGGATGGAACATATCTCAAAATAATAAGAGCTGTTTATGGCAAACCCATAGCCAACATTATAATGAATGGGCAAAAGCTGGAAGCATTCCCTTTGAAAACCGGCACAAGACAAGGATGCCCTCGCTCACCAAACTTATTCAACATAGTATTGGAAGTTTGGGCCAGGGCAATCAGGCAAGAGAAAGATAAAGGGTATTCAAATAGGAAAAGAGGAAGTCAAATTGTCTCTGTTTGCAGATGACATGATTGTATATTTAGAAAACTCCATTGTCTCAGCCCACAAACTCCTTCAGCTGATAAGCAACCTCAGCGAAGTCTCAGGATAAAAAAGCATGTGCAAAAATCCGAAGCGTTCCTATACACCAATAATAGAGAGCCAAATCATGAGTGAACTCCCATTCACAATTGCTACAAAGAGAATAAAATACCTAGGAATACAACTTACAAGGGATGTGAAAGATCTCTTCACAGAGAACTACAAACCACTGCTCAAGGAAATAAGACAGGACACAAACAAATGGAAAAACATTCTATGCTCATACATAGGAAGAATCAATATCATGAAAATGGCCATACTGCCCAAAGTATAGATTCAACGATTCACTTTCTTCACAGAATTGGAAAAAAACTACTTTAAATTTCATATGGAACCAAAAAAGAGCCCACATAGGAAAGAAAATTCTAAGCAAAAAGAACAGAGCTGGAGGCATCATGCTACCTGACTTCAAACTACACTACAAGGCTACAGTAACCAAAACAGCATGGTACTGGTTCCAAAACAGATATATAGACCAATGGAACAGAACAGAGGCCTCGGAAATAACACCACATGTCTATAACCATCTGATCTTTGACAAACCTGACAAAAACAAGCAATGGGGAAAGGATTCCCTATTTAATAAATGGTGCTGGGAAAACTAGCTAGTCATATGCAGAAAACTGAAACTGAATCCCTTCCTTACACCATATACAAAAATTAAATCAAGATGGATTAAAGACTTAAAAGTAAGACATACAACCATAAAAACCCTAGAAGAAAACCTAAGCAATACCATTCAAGACATAGGCATGGGCAAAGCCTTCATGACTAAAACACCAAAAGCAATGGCAACAAAAGCCAAAACTGACAAATAGCATCTAATTAAACTAAAGAGCTTCTGCACAGCAAAAGAAACTATCATCAGAGTTAAAAGGCAACCTACAGAATGGGAGAAAATTTTTGCAATCTATCCATCTGACAAAAGTCTAATATCCAGAATCTATAAGGAACTTAAACATATTTACAAGAAAAAGAGAAAACAACCCCATCAAAAAGTGGGTGAAAGATATGAAGAGATGCTTCTCAAAGGAAGATATTTATGTGGCCAACAAATATATGAAAAAAAGCTCATCATCACTGGTCATTAGAGAAATGCAAAGCAAAACCAAAATGAGATACTATCTCACACCAGTTAGAAGGGAGATCATTAAAAAGTCAGGAAACAACAGATGCTGGAGAGGATGTGGAGAAATAGGAATGCTTTTACACTGTTGGTGGGAGTGTAAATTCACTAAACTATTGTGGAAGACAGTGTGGCAAGACCTGAACTATATAGAACAAGAAATACCATTTGACCCAGCAATCCCATTACTGGGTATAAATCCAGAGGATTATAAATCATTCTACTATAAAGACACATGCACACATATATTTATTGCAGCACTATTTACAATAGTAAAGATTTGGAACCAACCCAAATCCCCATCAATGGTAGAATAGATAAAGGAAATGTGGCACATATACATCATGGAATACTATGCATCCATAAAAAAGAATGAGTTCATGTCCTTTGCAGGGACATGGAAGAAGCTGGAAACCATCATTCTCAGCAAACTAACACAGGGACAGATAACCAAGCACCGCATGTTCTCACTCATAGGTGGGAGTTGAACAATGAGAACACATGGACACAGGGAGGGGAACATCACACACTGGGGCCTGTCAGGGGGTGGTGGGCAAGGAGAGGGAGAGCATTAGGACAAATACCTAATGCATGCAGGGCTTAAAACCTAGAAGATGGGGTTGGCTTCCGGTTCCAAGATGGCCGAATAGGAACAGCTCCAGTCTACAGCTCCCAGCATGAGCAACACAGAAGATGGGTAATTTCTGCATTTCCAACTGAGGCACTGGGTTCATCTCACTGGGACTTGTTGAACAGTGGGTGCAGTCCATGGAGTGTGAGCCAAAGCAGGGCGGGGCATCACCTCACCCGGGAAGCACAAGGGGTCGGGGAATTCCCTTTCCTAACCAAGGGAAGCCATGACAGATGGTACCTGGAAAATTGGGCCACTCCCACCCTAATACTGTGCTTTTCCAATGGTCTTAGCAAACGGCACACCAGGAGATTATATCTCGCACTTGGCTTGGAGGGTTCCACGCCCACAGAGCCTTGCTCACTGCTAGCACAGCAGTCCGAGATCGAACTGCAAGGCAGCAGCAAGGCTGGGGGAGGGGCATCTGCCATTGCTGAGGCTTGACTAGGTAAACAAAGCAGCCGGGAAGCTTGAACTGGGTGGAGCCCACTGCAGCTCAAGGAGGCCTGCTTGCCTCTGTAGACTCCACATCTGGGGGCAGGTCATAGCTAAACAAAAGGTAGCAGAAACTTCTGCAGACTTAAACGTCCCAGTCTGACAGCTTTGAAGAGAGTAGTGGTTCTCCCAGCACAGAGTTTGAGATCTGAGAATGGACAGACTGCCTCCTCAAGTGGGCCCCTGAACCCCGAGTAGCCTAACTGGGAGTAACCTCCCAGTAGGGGCTAACTAACACCTCATACAGCCGAGTGCTCATCTGAGATGAAGCTTCCAGAGGAAAGATCAGGCAGCAACATTTGCTGTTCTGCAGTATTTGCTGTTCTGCAGCCTCTGCTGGTGATACCCAGGCAAACAGGGTCTGAAGTGGACCTCCAGCAAACTCCAACCTCCAGCAAACACCAGCTGAGGGTCCTGACTGTTAGAAGGAAAACTAACAAACAGAAAGGATTAGCATAACATCAACAAAAAGGACACCCACACCAAAACCTCATTTGTAGGTCACCATCATCAAAGACAAAAGGTAGATAAAACCAGAAAGATGTGGAGAAACCAGAGCAGAAAAGCTGAAAATTCTAAAAACTTGGTGGACCTCCACCAAACTCCAAACTCCAGCAAACTCCAGCTGGGGGTCCTGACTGTTAGAAGAAAAACTAACAAACAGAAAGGAATAGCATAACATCAACAAAAAGGGCATCCACACAAAAACCTCATTTGTAGGTCACCATCATCAAAGACCAAAGGTAGATAAAACCACAAAGATGGGGAGAAACTAGAGCAGAAAAGCTGAAAATTCTAAAAATCAGAGGGCCTCTTCTCCTCCAAAGGAACACAACTCCTCGCCAGCAATGGAACAAAGCTGGATGGAGAATGACTTTGACGAGTTGAGAGAAGTAGGCTTCAGAAGATTGGTAATAACAAACTTCACCGAGCTAAAGGAGGATGTTTGAATCCATCACAAAGAAACTAAAAAACTTCAAAAAAGATTAGACAAATGGCTTACTAGAATAAACAGCATAGAGAAGACCTTAAATGACCTGATGGAGCTGAAAACCATGGCATGAGAACTATGTGACACATGCACAAGCTTCGGTGGCCAATTCAATCAAGTGGAAGAAAGGGTATCAGTGATTGAAGATCAAATGAATGAAAAGAAGTGAGAAGAGAAGTTTAGAGAAAAAAGAGTAAAAAGAAACAAACAAAGTGTTCAAGAAATATGGGACTATGTGAAAAGACCTAATCTACGTCTGATTGGTGTATCTGAAAGTGACTGGGAGAATGGAACCAAGTTGGAAAACATTCTTCAGGATATTATCCAGGATAACATCCCCAACATAGCAAGGCAGGCCAACATTCAAATTCAGGAAATACAGAGAACACTACAAAGATACTCCTAGAGTAGAGCAACCCCAAGACATATATTTGTCACATTCACCAAGGTTGAAATGAAGGAAAAAATGTTAAGGGCAGCCAGAGAGAAAGGTCAGGTTACCCACAAAGGGAAGCCCATCAGACTAACAGTGGATCTCTCAGCAGAAACTCTACAAGCCAGAAGAGAGTGGGGACTAATATTCAACATTCTTAAAGAAAAGAATTCTCAACCCAGAATTTCATATCCAGCCAAACTAAGCTTCATAAGTGAAGGAGAAATAAAATCCTTTACAGACAAGCAAATGCTGAGAGATTTTGTCACCACCAGGCCTGCCTTACAAGAGCTCCTGAAGGAAGCACTAAATATGGAAAGGAACAACCAGTATCAGCCACTGCAAAAACATGCCAAATTGTAAAAACCATCGATGCTAGGAAGAAACTGCATCAATTAATGAGCAAAATAACCAGCTAACATTGTAATGACTGGATCAAATTCACACATAACAATACTAACGTTAAATGTAAATGAGCTAAATGCCTGAATTAAAAGACACAGACTGGCAAATTGGATAAACAGTCAAGACCTATCAGTGTGCTGTATTCAGGAGACCCATCTCATATGCAGAGACACACATAGGCTCAAAATAAAGGAATGGAGGAATATTTACCAAGTAAATGAAAACCAAAAAAAAAAAAAAAAAAGCAGAGGTTGCAATCCTAGTTTCTGATAAAACAGACTTTAAATCAACAAAGATCAAAAGAGACAATCAAGGCCATTACATAATGGTAAAGGGATCAATTCAACAAGAAGAGCTAACTATCCTAACTATATATGCACCCAATACAGGAGCACCCAGATTCATAAGGCAAGTCTTTAGAGACCTACAAAGAGACTTAGACTCCCACACAATAATAATGGGAGACTTTAACACCCCACTGTCAACATTAGACAGATCAACGAGACAGAAAGTTAACAAGGATATCGAGGACTTGAACTCAGCTTTGCACCAAGTGGACTTAATAGACATCTGCAGAACCCTGCACCCCAAATCAACAGAATATATGTTCTTCTCAGTACCACATAGTACTTGTTCCAAAATTGACCACATAGTTGGAAGTAAAGCACTCCTCAACAAATGTAAAAGAACAGAAATTATAACAAACTGTCTCTGAGACCACAGTGCAATCAAATTAGAACGCAGGATTAAGAAACTCACTCAAAACCGCACAACTACATGGAAACTGAACAACCTGCTCCTGAATGACTACTGGGTAAATAACAAAATGAAGGCAGAAATAAAGATGTTCTTTGAAACCAATGAGAACAAAGACACAACATACCAGAATCTCTGGGACACATTTAAAGCAGTGTGTACAGGGAAATTTATAGCACTATATGCCCACAAAAGAAAGCAGGAAGGATCTAAAATTGACACCCTAACATCACAATTAAAAGAACTAGAGAAGCAAGAGCAAACACATTCAAAAGCTAGCAGAAGGCAAGAAATAACTAAGACCAGAGCAGAACTGAGGGAGATAGAGACACAAAAAACCCTTCAAAAAATCAATGAATCCAGGAGATGGTTTTTTGAAAATATCAACAAAATAGATAGAACACTAGCAAGATTAATAAAGAAGAGAAGAGAGAAGAATCAAATAGACGCAATAAAAAATGATAAAGGGGATATCACCACCGATCCCACAGAAATAAAAACTACCATCAGAGAATACTATAAACACCTCTATGCAATTAAAATAGAAAATCTAGAAGAAATGGATAAATTCCTCGACACATACACCCTCCCAACACTAAACCAGGAAGAAGTTGAATCCCTGAATAGACCAATAACAGGCTCTGAAATTGAGGCAATAATTAATAGTCTACCAACCAAAAAAAGTCCAGGACCAGACAGATTCACAGCTGAATTCTACCAGAGGTACAAAGAGGAGTTGGTACCATTCCTTCTGAAACTATTCCAATCAATAGAAAAAGAGGGAATCCTCCCTAACTCATGTTATGAGGCCAGCATCTTCCTGATACCAAAGCCTGACAGAGACACAACAAAAAAAGAGAATTTTAGACCAATATCTCTGATGAACATCGATGCAAAAATCCTCAATAAGATACTGGCAAACTGAATCCAGCAGCACATCAAAAAGCTTATCCACCACAATCAAGTTGGTTTCATCCCTGGGATGCAAGGCTGGTTCAACATACGCAAATCAATAAACGTAATCCAGCATATAAACAGAACCGAAGACAAAAACCACATGATTATCCCAATAGATGCAGAAAAGGCCTTTGACAAAATTCAACAGCCCTTCATGCTAAAAACTCTCAATAAACTAGGTATTGATGTGATGTATCTCAAAATAATAAGAGCTATTTATGACAAACCCACAGCTAATATCATACTAAATGGGCAAAAACTGGAAGCATTTCCTTTGAAAATTGGCACAAGACAGGGATGCCCTCTCTCACCACTCCTATTCAACATAGTGTTGGAAGTTCTGACCAGGGCAATCAGGCAGGAGAAAGACATAAAGGATATTGGATTAGGAAAAGAGGAAGTCAAATTGTCCCTGTTTGCAGATGACATGATTGTATATTTAGAAAACCCCATCGTCTCAGCCCAAAATCTCCTTAAGCTGATGAGCAACTTCAGCAAAGTCTCAGGATACAAAATCAATGTGCAAAAATCACAAGCATTCCTATACAGCAATAACAGACAAACAGAAAGGCAAATCATGAGTGAACTCCCATTCACAATTGCTTCAAAGAGAACAAAACACCTAGGAATCCAACTTACAAGGGATGTGAAAGAACTCTTCAAGGAGAACTACAAACCACTGTTCAGCAAAATAAAAGAAGACACAAACAAATGGAAGAACATTCCATGCTCATGGATAGGAAGAATCAATATTGTGAAAATGGCCATACTGCCCAAGGTAATTTATAGATTCAATGCCATCCCTATCAAGCTACCAATGACTTTCTTCACAGAATTGGAAAAAACTACTTTAAAGTTCATATGGAACCAAAAAAGAGCCTGCATTGCCAAGACAATCTTAAGCAAAAAGAACAAAGCCGGAGGCATCATGCTACCTGACTTCAAACTATACTACAAGTTACAGTAACCAAAACAGCATGGTACTGATAACCAAAACAGAGATATAGACCAATGAAACAGAACAGAGCCCTCAGAAATAATACCACACATCTACAACCATCTGATCTTTGACAAACCTGACAAAAACAAGAAATGGGGAAAGGATTCGCTATTTGATAAATGGTGCTGGGAAAATGGGCTAGCCATATGTAGAAAGCTGAAACTGGATCCCTTCCTTACACCTTATACAAAAATTAATTCAAGATGGATTAAAGACTTAAATGTTAGACCTAAAACCATAAAAACCCTAGAAGAAAACCTAAGCAATACCATTCAGGACCTAGGCATAGGCAAGGACTTTATGACTAAAACAACAAAAGCAATGGAAACAAAAGCCAAAATAGTCAAATAGGATCTAGTTAAACTAAAGAGCTTCTGCACAGCAAAAGAAACTACCATCAGAGTGAACAGGCAACCTACAGAATGGGAGAAAATTTTTGCAATCTCTCCATGTGACAAAGGGCTAATATCCAGAATCTACAAGGAACTTAAACATATTCACAAGAAAAAAATCAAACAATCCCATCAAAAAGTGGGCAAAGGATATGAACAGACACTTCTCAAAAGAAGACTTTTATGCAGCCACAGACACGTGAAAAAATGCTCATTATCACTGGTCATCAGAGAAATGCAAATCAAAACCACAATGAGATACCATCTCACACCAGTTAGAATGGTGATCATTAAAAAGTCAGGAAACAATGGGTGCTAGCAAGGATGTGGAGAAATAGGAACACTTTTACACTGTTGGTGGGACTGTAAACTAGTTCAACCATTGTGGAAGGCAGTGTGGTGATTCCTCAAGATCTAGAACTAGAAATACTATTTGACCCAGCCATCCCATTACTGGGTATATAACCAAAGGATTATAAATCATGCTGCTATAAAGACACATGCACACGTGTGTTTGTTGCGGTACTATTCACAATAGCAAAGACTTGGAACCAACCCAGATGTCCATCAATGATAGACTGGATTAAGAAATTGTAGCACATATACACTATGGAATACTATGCAGCCATAAAAAAGGATGAGTTCATGCTCTTTGTAGGCACATGGATGAAGCTGGAAACCATCATTCTGAGCAAACTATTGCAGGGACAGAAAACCAAACACTGCATGTTCTCACTCACAGGTGGGAATTGAACAATGAGAAACTTGGATACAGGGTGGGGAACATCACACACTGGGGCCTGTTGTGGGGTGGGGGGAGGGAGGAGGGATAGCATTAGGAGAAATACCTAATGTAAATGACGAGTTAATGGGTACAGCACACCAACATGGCACATGTATACATATGTAACAAACCTGCACGTTGTGCACATGTACCCTAGAATTTAAAGTATAATTTTAAAAAAGAATATGTTTAGTAATATATATTGCGTAAAAAATAAATAAATAAATAAAATGGAAGTTAAAATGACAAAAAAAAACCCATCTTGTTAAGCTAATCATCTCTGTGTGAGCAGTTTGTCTCTCCAGTGAATTGCTTATCGAGGTAAAAAGTGATATCTCATGGTTGTCACATATCTTTCATTGTGTTTAGTGCAATACTGCAAACCTTGAATAACACCATGAGACCCATACGAAGTACCACTAGTGATGCCGAAAGTGCTCCCAAGAAGCCAAGGAAAGTTATGACATTACAAGAAAAAGTTGAATTACTTGATATGTACCATAGGTTGAGGTCTGTAGCTGCAGTTGCTCACCATTTTAGACAAGTGGTTCAACTTGTAGACAGATGCATAAATTTATGATATCCATAAATACATTATAGTACTGTAAATGTATTTTCTCTTCCTTATGATTTTCCTAGTAATATTTTCTTTTCTCTAGTTTGCTTTATTCTAAGAGTAGAGTATATATAACATGCAAAGTTAAAAAAAAAAAAACCTAGATGACGGATTGATGTGTTCAGCAAACCACCATGGCACATGTATACCTATGTTACAAACCTGCACGTTCTACACATGTATCCTA